>NC_000020.11:9157244-9308759 GCF_000001405.40 Homo sapiens
GATACCAACTTGCCTTTTATATTCAAGCAGATTTTCAAAAAGTCTCATTGCATGGAAAGTGGCTATAATTTAAACAAAAAGTCATTTACTGTGCTAACATTCATGAAGATAGCAATTCTTGGGATGCTGCATGAATTGGGCAGAATGTTAAAATGCTGAAGGAACCTTGTGTCTGGTTTAAATACATTTTGGTTGGTGTCATATAGGTAAGGAATGGCAGCCTCATTTTTAACTCTTAGTAATTAAAAATTGGAACCTTTAAGTAGGGAGAGAAGGAAACTATAGTGTGGAATTCAAGATAGTGCACTTGATTTTCTCATTCCTGGGGAGTCACATGGGTTTATGAGACTCCTCAATTGTTTGACATTTCATTTAAAAAATAAAACAACAAAATGAGCTTTCCCTTTCATCTATACAAGAGTCCATGAAGAAGCCTCCTTCTCTTATGTTGTAATTCACAGACCAAAGAGTTGAGTTTGAGTATATAATTACTCATCTAGATATATTTACAAAATACTAGTAATTTTACTGGTAGTAGCTCATTTATGCTGGGTGTGATGGTGCGTGGTCCTAGCTATTTGGGAGACTGTGGCTAAGGAGCCTCCTGAGCCCAAGAGTTTGAGGCTGCAGTGAGCTGTGATCATGCCATTTCACTCTAGCCTGGGCAACAGAGTGAGACCCTATCTCAAACAAGCAAAACTAATTTATGTTGAATTCTTCCTATATGTCAGCTAGCCTTTCGGCCCTTTACCTGTTCCACCATTTATCTTCACGATAACCCTTTGAAGTAGGTACTATCCTTGTCTCCATTTTACAGATGAGGGAACCAAGGCACAAGGATTCTAAGTAATTTGCCCAAAGTCACACGGCAAGGAAGTTTCAAAGCTAGGATTCAAACCCAGGCTATTATAATCACTACACTACAAGTATTTTCAAACAGTGTTTCCCAATATCAGTCATACAGATACCATCTGCATGCTTTTTGCCATAGTTGTATTTTACTTCTATTATTATTTAATGTTTCTCACTTTTTTTTTTTGAGACAGAGTCTTGCTCTGTTGCCCAAGCTGTAGTGTGGTGACATGATCTCAGCTCACTGTAGCCTCCACCTTCCGGGTTCAAGTGATCCTCCTCCATCAGCCTCCCAAGTAGCTGAGACTATGGGCAAGTGTCTCCACACCTGGCTAATTTTTTTTTTTTTTTTAATAGATTTGGGATTTTACCATGCTGGCCAGGCCTGTCTCAAACTCCTGACCTCATGTAATCCACCCTCCTTGGCCTCCCAAAGTGCTGGGATTACAGGCGTGAGCCACTGCACCTGGCCACTCTCACGTTTTTTTTTTTTTTTAACCGTACAAAACAGTATTTAAAAGAGAAACCTTACACCTCTATCTTAAATGGAAAACTATTATGTGTGCAAATAGTAGATACCCAATAAAAACTAAACAGTGAAAACCATTTAGTGTTATTCAATCCTAAGTAGATGCCACTGGCTGCCAAAAACCCTGCGTCAGAGGACGTCCTTTCTTTATTGAGACAGAGAGATTTTAAAGGCATGCTCTATAGGGTTGAGACTATTTGATGCAATCAGTTCAGAGTCAGGGATTAAATTTTTCTACTAGGAGAGTCTGTCTTATTCCATACTGAATTTGTAAATCATCTAAAATCACCTTGTAGTTTATTAGTGTTAATGGCTCCTACACTCTGAGAATCACTTGTCTAAAATACAAAGATGTTGTACTGTTTTTAGAATTATCTTAGGGAAAGTGAAGCAGAAAGATGTTTAAATGAATTCAGGCCTGTATTATTAAGCCAATCCAAGTAAAGCTATTATCTGAATGATTAGCCCTAAAGTCCCTTACCACTTTATCTGGTCTCTAGAAGGCCAGTTTAGGTTGCTTTGTGGGAAGATGTATGGGTGATTTTTATCCAAGTTATTATCTAAGAAGGTGTGGTTACTCCTGAATTTTAAATCAGACTACTTAGAAAATGGCCTTAAATTGATCCTTTTTTTATCCTTGACAGATACTTATTGGTTGAAACATCAGAGAGCTTTAAGCTTTCTCAAGTACATGTTGGAGACCATTGGGACTAGTGTCCCTTTGTTACCAAGAGGACAGTGTATGATATGCATGATTAACATAGGATTATTATATATTGATTATAGTGCAAAAAGTAAAAGGTGTCTTTTCATCTTTGAGTTTAAAATAAAGAGATTTAGCATGTTTTTGTGTGATAAGAGGGATCTTCTTAATTCCCAAGACCTCTTTAAAAGCAATTCATGAACATACTTAAGACTCATCAGTTGAACAATAAGTTAATCTGCATCTGAAGGTTTTGCTGATTATCTGATCATATAATTTCCCTGTATTCTGATTATGTTTTTCTGATGCCTTTTACAGTATATGAATTCTTAATCAAGATGATTCCGTTAGCAGTAGCTCCTCTATACACAGTGAGCCCAGGAGGGCAGAGAGCTTGGCTTGATGAAAGTTTTTACAGACATAAAGATGGTGAATGAAACTGGCTTCATCTTGCTCAGTATCTATTTTGAAATATTATATTTAAATATTAAACACTAATATTAAATATTATGGTTCCAAAGTCATAGCAAGATATTAACTGTGGCTTGCATGGATGGTGAAATTATTACAATGGTCTTTTACCGTTCAGTGTGCTCGTGAACTTCAGAAGGCTTCTGATAGATTTTAGGCCTGTTTAGTTGCCCATAGTTAGGGAGAAGAGGTGGCCATACTACAGGAAGACAAGCTGAACGTCCCTCCACACTAAAGCTGCCACAGGACCTGTGTCGCCAAGGAGCTGCTGCTCAGTTCTAGCCAGGACAGCAGGGTGAGCTGGATCCAACTCCGTTTGGTGGCATAATAGAGAGCACCTTTATGTGCAGGTTTCATCTGTTGAGTAGAGAATTGTGGCTGGGAGTGTGGGGGGTGGGTCTCTAACATTTGCTGTGGCTTATTTAGATGTAGCCCTTAATTGTCCTGCCCTGCCCTGGGCTAGGTTTTGGAAACCAGAGCTCGTTAGAAGTGTGTCCTGGCTTGGGGAAAAGATGAAAGAAGTCCAGGATAGTTAGGTCCTCAAGGAAGTGGACCATGTCTGTTTATTCATCCGTATATACCTGGCACCTGACACAGCGCCGGGAGCATGGTGGGCACTCAGTAGATACGTGTTGAGTAAATGAACGCACAGAGTTAAATTGGGCAGCTGATGTTTTTGGTATTTTATAATTTTTGCTTGGTGACAGGAAACCACAACAAAATATGTGCCTGTGTGTGTGCATGCATGTTTTATAGCTTCCTGAAGAAATAGAATCAATTTCAGTTTTTGCAACTAAAAAAGAATGCAGAAAGTGAGCTTGGAGTGAGGAGCTGCTTTCTTATAATGACAAAGAATAGTTACAAGCTGTTTTCTAGACCGAGGTAATGGTGGAGGTAACTTCTGCTCCTTTGTTCTGTGTATCTTTGTGAGAAGGGAGAGCCTGCAAGGGCATAGAAAAGGGAGAAGCCTTGTGGAAAACAGAGAGGTTTCTTCTGGACTTCGGGTTTGGAGGATTAGCAGAACATACTAGAAAATAAGGTTCTTTCTCTTGGGAAATTACTCATGCTGGCAGCCTGAAATAGCATGAAAAGGACTTTTATTAGTGGCAGGTCTTCAGATAGTTTGCTAGAGAGGAGAAGTGCTTCCAAGTTGAGTGAAAGCAGAAAGCGAGCCAGAGTTGCATTAGCAAGTGATTCAAACAATGAAATCTCAAGCAGCAAGGCAGCTGACATCTCAGCACTTACTCTGTGCTGACAGATAAATATAAATTATTTTTGAGACAGTGGTTATTTGAGATATGTAAAAGTTTTTAGATAGATATCATTATCCCAATTTTACAAATCAGGAAACAAGTTTATAAGGTTTGTAATTAGTCCAATGCCCCATAAACAGCTGGTACATAATGGGGCTAGGGTTTGAACGCAGCTTATTTGATTTGAAAACCTAGGTTCTTTCCACATGTTAAGTAATCCCTTGCCTTTTTGAGAACTGCATTTTATAGTTAGCATTTATCCTAAGTGGTTCATGGTTTTTACTAATTTTAAAGGGAAAGTTCTAGTTTTATAGGGAAGATAACGTTGGCTTGTGAACTCAGTGAGAAGATGGACAGTAGAGAGGTTAACTTGTCCAAAATCAAATCGCTCTGATGCCAACCCAGGTTTGTTGGAGTGCAATCCGCTGCTCTTACCTACCATGTTGTGCTGTCTGGCTGATTTTACCACCCAGGAGCTGTTGATTACCAGTGTTTGGTTAATCATAGGAAAGTCTGGCTTGCAGCCATTGCCAGTGCACAAATCATGTTCTGTGAAATAAATTTTATTTTATTGACTCGAAGAGACAAAAGTGAAGCTATGTCTTCTGAATAATACCCAGCATTGCTTGTATTGGACTTTGTATATTTTTTTTCTTGGAGTAGAATAAAGTATGTAGACAAAATAACTTATGAAGCATTTTTATTGTTCTGTGGATTCTGTTCTAACTTGAAAGGTAACTGCTTTTTCACTTTTTAGATTCTACAAAAAAGAGTGTTTGTTACCTGGTGAATCAAAACAGAGGTTCCATTCTGTGATACGAAAAGATAATTATTAATAAACTAAAATTAAATAACACTAATACTATTGGCAGAATACATTAATGCCGATAATCACTGATACTATAATAGATGTTCAATGCAGCCAGCATGAAGAGCTGGAGGAACATTGATGAGAATTTTAATTCATATGATATTTAAGTTTATATCCTTTATTTCTTTAGCATGTTCTGTTTTTTTTGTCAAATCTTTTAGTTTCACGATTCATTAGAGTGGATGACCCAGGCAGATGGAATTGGCAGTGTTTATTAGAATGTCATACCCTGCTTTAAAATAATGTTCTCTGCTAATTTGTCCCTTGTTCCCTGAAACAATGAGTTGACTTTACCCTGAGCATCCTGGGTTGTCAGCTTTAAAGTCAATCTTTTGCAAGGTTGAAAGGATCAAGGGCATTATTACATAATTGTTTTGTCTTTAATCCATAGACTTTTGGAGGAAAAGGAAGCAAAATGTGGCGATTTGTGTATGTTTTGGGTATTGGGCAAGAGGAAAGAGAGAAGCAGAGGTATACCTGTACCTAAAAAGTTTTCTTAACTGTCACGTCATGGTGAATTAATATGTTGGTGCTTTCTTAAACTCCTCAGTAATGAGAGTCAAAAAACAGATTCAATATGCTATTCGGAGTTAATATGGGAAAAGATGCTGTATATTTATATTAAAGGGAATTGGAAAGGATGGTATTTGCTCTGGAAACACAGCCTTCGTTCATGTTTACTAGTCCTATAGTAGTTACGTTCATCAATTATGTTTTGTTTCCTAGAATGTACAACATCCTCCATGTTTTTTTCTTTCTATAATTTACATTTATATTGTGTTTTTCCTTTTTTGTGGTAATAAACTATTGTAAATGTGAATAATAAATATATTATACCAGTGCCTCTTGTGGAGGTGCAATATTAGCTCATTTAAAAAAAAGCCTAAAAGCCTTATCTTGTTCTCAGTAAAAATGTTTATAGTCTTACTTTACATATTGTTCTGAAAAGCTGTTTTTTAAAATGTACAGACCTTTCCGGGGGTATGCTGGTATACATTTAACCACTGGTGGGGTGGAGGTGATTTGTATTTTTACCAATTTCTGGGGTTTAAATATTCTTACCATGGCCAATTTTAAGCTAGCAGTTCAGCATCACTGAACCTGGGGATGGGAATAGATGCACACAGTTGTCTTTTGCAGGCCTTGGAAGCTGGCTCAGCCACTGATTTTAGTACCAAGAGATTGGAAGGGGAGCAGTGGCTAGAAGGGGTAGTGGAGAGGCAGAAAACTAAAGAATGTAGAAAATAATAAGAAACTAACTAAATTGGGAGATGGGTTTCTGTTAAAGGAACTTGAGTAAACATGTCGACTCTGTTTTCTGAAACTGCCGGGATGAAAAAAATAACTAAAAGTGGGGGGAAATTTTTCACTAAAAGTAGAGAATGGCTAAACCCCAAATGTTAAGCCTCTGAAGAATATCTGCCAAATTTGGAGCAAATCTGAGCAGAGTCAAAATATGTGTCTCTTAGAGCCCCAGCAGGTGGATTTTTTGCAAGGTCATGGCCAAAATCCCTAATTGGGAACAGAGAGGTTGAAGCCCTAGGCGGGTTCCTGGAGAAGCAGAACTTGTTCCTCTTTTGATGTTTTGTTTCGTAGATTATACAGTATCCTCCATGTTTTTTTTTTCCTTTCTATAATTTATGTTTATATTCTGTTTTTTCTTTTTTGTGGTAATAAATTTTTGTAAATGGGAATAATAAAATATTATGCTTATAGATTTATTCACTTTAGACAGTATCTGTTGAGTCCTAAATATGAAAAATTTAAAACGTGAACATTCATATTTTCTTCCATTTTTCCAATCTCTTGATCATGCTATTTATTATTTTTTACATGATCATGATTTATCACATTTTTATTACATTCTATATACCGTAATTTGCCTCCATTTCATATTTAAATAAATTACATTGCAAACATCAGAACAAAAGAAAATATCAAACCAGGAAGCATAATAAATTGAAATAATAGAATTAAGATGAACCACCTGCTTATTAGAAATCATAATGTAAACGAGATAAGTTCATTTATTGAAAGGAAACTATTTTGCGTGAGTCATCCAAAAAAGTGATTATAGGCAAACTTAAAAGTAAGCAGTGGTTATAATTAATACAAAAGATGAAGGGTATTTTTACTTTTAACTTTATTCCTTCTGTGGTCTGAACTTTTTCAATAAACTTGTTTTACTTTACCAATTAATTTTTAAAACATCCCAGACTGTAGCCATTGATTATAATGAGACACAGCTGCATCGTTTTCATATTAAACAGTGACTGTTTCACTGCCTGTTTTTTGTCACATGGCAGGCCTTCAGTAAATGGTGGCTGAAAGAACATTTTCTCAAGATGTTATAGTGTTATTATGATGTGTATCTAATAGTTGCCCCAATCTTTGGAGTCTTTTTTTTTTATTTGCATGCACCCTTGTGAGGGAAGTGATTTTATTGCTGTTTTACAGATGAAGAAACTGGGGCTCAGGGAAATTAAGTGACTTGCCCAACATCAAACCATCTCATGTCTTCTGAATCATTTTTTAAGTAAAATATTTTTCTCATCATATGACAGTCTCTTAAATACAATATTTTAGTTATGATTCTGTTGACTGATTAGAATCTATATAAACTGAAGACATTTTAAAATTATATTAAATATTTTCTTATTAGAAGCATTAGAAGAGTATAACTCAGTTTAGAAAGATTTCAATCTTTCAGGGGCATGATTGGGAAAAATAACTTGTGTGAAGTAGTTTGTTCTTTAGTAGTCAAGTGGATGAATATATGCAGTGTTGACTTAATTATCTTTGTGGAGTAGCTGTGAACCACCAGTCTATTCTGTGGTTCTATCCTGAAAACTGTCTTTTCAATATAAATAAGAGCAATAGACTGTCAGGAGATTTCTGGGGAGGTGGAGGGAACTGCAGGATGCTAGGACTTGAGACTGATGGAAACGTTTGAGGTAGAGTCAGGTTTTACACGTGGTTTGCTGGAGGTGCCATGACTCAGTTTCTTCCTCTTGAGTCTGCCTGTGTAAAAGTGGTTGAAATGTGCACATATGCATGCAAACACTATTGCATTTGGGTGGTGTTTTTTATGGTTACTTCTAGCCTGCATCAGCATTTTGGCTTGGGTGCCCACTCTGTATGATATATTGGCTGAATGTTCATCTCTGAGGTCTGACAGTCGGCTTTTGAGAGCAAATGGATGGCCACAGTACAGGCACGTGCCCGCTATAGCAACTGCCAAGGTTCAAAACAAAAAGTCCAGCTTCTCGAGGGCACAAAACATGCTGTTTCTTATATGTTCTAGTGTAATGCAAAGCATATACTAAATATCCACTAAATACCTGTAGGGTGTGCTTCCATTCGCTATACTTTCATTTGGGAAAGCTTTATAATAGTGTGAAATCTAGTACTGATCACACTGTAATTTTTAGAGATAGTAGTACAAGTTGGGACAGATGGGGAGCCTAATAATTTAATGATTTTACCAAGTGCGTTGAAAACTTGTCACAATATCAGCTTGGTGGATTAAAAATTGGCAAATGAAATCTGGAGTTTTTGGCATTTTCCAAATCTTTCTCACAAAATACAATTCTCTCTGGATGCCTCTCAAATACAGGGTCCCATGATTAACTAAATGTGGGAGGCACAGCATAAAATCTCTTCTAACAGATTTATAATGAAAATAAGCATACTAAAAACTTGGAGAAATCCTGCAGAATAGAATTCTACTTACATTAGTGTGGATTGGCCATCCTAAAACATCCTGGAACCTTGTTTTGCAGAACATTTTACATTCTCTGAGCATTTTGGGAAATGCCAAATTTTTTATTGTAACGCTGTCACCGATGGATGGGTAAACCTGGGGCTGTTTGTGTGTGTGTGTGTGTGTGTGTGTGTGTGTGTGTGTGTGTTACCATGTTAATTTGATGTAGAATTAAAATCCTCTTGAGTTATACCAACAGGACAAAAGTCTCAACATTTTACTATCTGTGCAAGGCAGATAATCTCTAGATCTCATTTTAGACAGTAGTTCTTAATTATTTTTCTTTATATCAGTGCTACTTGTAACTTAAAAATTTTTAAAGTTTTATTTCCTTTCTTGAACTCTGAAGGTATTATAAAGGAGAAAAACAGTAAAAGATGCCAGCCCAACTGGGGAGGTTGGAACAGAGATTATGAATATATTATAACCAAGTTACTACATTTCCTGAATTGTGGGCAATCAGTTGTGCCTTTCTTTCAGTTTATATCCTGAATTTTTTGTAGACTTCAGTATAGAAAAAACAAAGATTTGTTTTAAGGAAGAGTTCAGGTGTGGCCTTCCAATTTTACTCTTCCTATTATAAACAAACACCCAACCTCTGATCAGGTGGCTCTTCTTGTTATGTTTGGGGCCTCTTACTCATTCCCGGGCAGTGTTCCTCGGCAATATGCCTGTGACAAGCGTTTGCTGTATTTGTTGTTCGACTTAGGGTAGTTGAAAGAGTCTCTCTCAGCCACTCTCTCTGGATATTTTGTTGTGGCTGTGGGCACTGTTTGCCCAGCCTCTCACTTTGTAGCGGAGGGGTGGGACTCTGCGTGAAAGGACCAGCGTTATAGTCCCTGGCTTCTCCGGCTAATTCATCCCGAGGCTCCTGCCCCTTCCCATTCTGGAAGGGGCGAGCTTATCCTAGACCTGTGACTGCCTCTGAAGTTCTCCACCTGCCTCAGGCGTGCTCTCCAGTGCCTGTTTCTGACTGAGTGAGGTTGAAATCCTACTGACTCCTTTTCAGGTAAAAAAGCATACTGAAAAATGGCTTTAGGAATAGCAGTTAAGATTTATATAGAGGGGGCAGTTTTGTTAAGTTTATGGTTTCTGTTGTTTGTAGAGGGCTATCACGGTTTTATTTTCATGGTCCCTGAAGGTAAGCAGATATAGCTGTATTTAGTGATAGAAAATACTATATTGCTTAGAGAACCCAAACTTCCCATGAAAATTGTTATATTTATTATTACTTTTTTCTTTAGACTTTCTTATAAGAGAGAAATTGAAGACAAAATTGTGCCAACAAAGTATATTAGACACTGTGATTTTGTGGTAATTTTGGCATCAATTAGATATTTATTTTAATATCTCTTTTTATAAAATTTTCCTAAACCTAACTGTAACTCGAATAGAGTTTTCCATAAGACATGTATAGGTATGATTTGCTTGGCTGGTAGGATTTCTTGGTGTGTTTTATTTATCACACTCCATATTTTAAAAATTAACTGTGTGTGGGGACAGGGGATATATGGGAAATCTATGTACCTTCTGCTCAGTTTTGCTATGAACATAAAACTGCTCTAAGAAATGAGGTCTATTAAAAAAAAACAGTCCCTTGATAATACTTTCTGTGAATACTTAAATATAATGTGATAAAGCACAGATGATGTTAAACTTTTTTTATAAGGCATAAATTTTAAAAAGCTAATTCATTTTTCTTTTTCATAATTAGTAATGAAAATATGGGACATATTTCAGTATTTTGTTTTGATTGCCACTTTTTTTGTTCAACCATATTCAGATGGGTAAAATGATTATTTTCAAGTCTCTTTTCCTAAATAAGAAGTGAGAATAAAAATATACTTTGAACATGAACGCGTACTTATTCATTGTCTTGGAAAGTTAATGAGCCATTATGTAAAATTCCTTTCTGAAATCAGAGAGTAAAAATTAACAACTTAGAAAGTTGGTTTGTGTATTTGGTAATTATGTTTCTAAAACCCATTTTTTCATATAATATGCACATGTTCATGGACAGAGGAGTGATGCTGAAGTATGAAACTTGTACTTAGTACCGAATAATTGGCTTTGAATAGCTTTAGAAACATATTTCATATTTGCGTACTTTATTTTTTCAGTTAGGCACGCCTTAAACACATGTAGTTATGAAACAAACGGTGAAACCATGACTAGCCACAGATATTTGAGCATAAACAATCTTAATTATAATGACTGAAGTAAACAAAGCATGACCATTAAAATAAACTTATTTTCGACAGATTTATACATGAATAATATGCAACATTCTATGGCAATTTTTAAGGGTGCATGAAGAACTTTCACAGCTGTCTTTTATAGCTGAAGCAGGGACAGTGGCCTAAGAATTCCTTTGATAGTTATTACCTGTTGGAAAAAAACCACTTTATGTGCTTTTTACATTAAAGAGCAATTACATATAA
Organism: Homo sapiens; assembly: GCF_000001405.40. Taxonomy (NCBI): domain Eukaryota; kingdom Metazoa; phylum Chordata; class Mammalia; order Primates; family Hominidae; genus Homo; species Homo sapiens. Next base: position 9,168,128 of record NC_000020.11, read on the forward strand.
AGTGATGCACTCTCCAAAGATACAGAGAATATTTCCAGACACATTAAAGCATATGAAACTTTCCAAATTTTCAACACAAGTTCAACTGTGTTTTATCTTTATAGACTCTCCCGGGGCTTTGGGGTAAGTTATCTTATACAGATGGAGGCTAGAACTGAAGCATTATAGAGCAGGAGAAGGTGCTTCCAGGAGACAAGGTGTGCAAGGCTTAATGTTGCTTACCTGTTTACCTGCACCTGTTTACCTGCACCTGTCTTCTCTGAAGGTGACGCTGTTGATGAAGCTGCTGTTGAGAAGACCCAAGTAATTGAGACTCGGTCTGTGGGCTTGTTATCGGATCACTCCACTGTTTTCCACACTTTAATGTGCGTGTGAATCATTTGTGATTTTGTTAACTGCATATTGTACCACAGCAGGTGTGGGGTGATGAGGCCTGAGATTCTGCATTGCTAACAGGCTCCCAGGTGCTGCTAATGCCACCATTTCAGGGACCACACTTTGACTAGCGAGGAGCTACACCACCAGATACCAAATAACTGCTCAGGTCATTGTTTTTCACTTAATGGACATTGTCTGTCCATAGTGGGCAGTCAGTTTGCGAAGCTCATGACTGAGATGTGATTGAGGGGAATCGACTAGCTGGTGACACTGGCCGCTTTGTGGCTGATATAACTGATGATGTGTGGCTTGTTTTCTCTGGTAGAAATGTGTGGGATTGTCACCTCTGCTGAACTTCCACAGCAGTCTTTTCCAGGACTCGTCATCCTTGGCAGCCCCAACTCCTGCCTGTCAGCCCAAGCAGCCACCAATTAAGAAAGCGTTCAAGCTCAACACCCACCTTTCAAGCTCAAGTCTCCCTTTGCGGTTGCTACAACCACCAAGGGCTCATCCTCTTCTCCTGTCTGCCCTCATGTCCTGCCAATCAGGAGCCTTTTAAATGCATTGAGTTTGATTTGCATCTTGAACCTGAGTCTTCTGTGGCATCCTCTGCCCAATCTGGCTTGCAGGTGCTCCACTTTAGCTCCCTGTGAATTTAAATATAGAAACTTTATTTGTGAGGAGCTGCTTCCTTCCTCTCACTTAACACACAATTTTCCAATGTAATAATCCAGTTTTGGGCATTTGATTTTCATAAAAACTTTCCATGTCTCAGCTTGTGAGATATGTGTCTTGAGTTCTCAATGTAAACACTTTGCCAGTCTGTAATTCCAGCACTCTGGGAGGCCGAAGCAGGAAGATTACTTGAGGTCAGGAGTTTGAGACCAGCCAGGCCAACATGGTGAAACCCCATCTCTTAAAAAAAAAAAAAAAAATTAGCCCGGCGTGGTGGTGCACACCTGTAATCCCAACTACTCTGGAGGCTGAGGCAGGAGAATCGCTTGAAACGGGAGGCAGAGGTTGCAGTAAGCTGAGACCGTGCCACTGCGCTCCAGCCTGGGTGACGGAGCAAGACTGTCTAATAAATAAATAAATAAATAAATAAATAAATAAATAAATACTCTGCCAGGGTTCTAGATACCATGTGAATTGAACTCCTGAAGGGAAGGAAGTGGGCAGTGGGGTGTTGGTGTGATACTCCAAATTCTTCAGTGATTCCTTCCCATTGTACTTTCCTCCACAACATTGTTTGTGAAAATTTCAAACATATAGTAATTTGAAAGAATTTTACAATGAACAGCTGTGTATTCACCTCCTAGATTCTACCATGAACACTTTATTGCCTTTATTATCTGTCCATCCACTTATCCCTCTGTCTTTCACTGTCTTATTTTTGATGGATTTAAAAATAAACTGCAGGCATAGTTTGTATATTCCAGCATGCTTATTATTAACTGGAGTTCAATATTTCTTATCAGTTATTCATACGAAATTTCTATTCGATGAAATGCACACATCCTTACTTGTACATAGCTTGAACTTTCAACAAGTGGACGCACCCAGATAAATCAGTCCTGGCAAGATATAGAACATTACCACCACCGGAGAAAGTTCCTGCATTCCTTCCCCAACCTTTACGTTCTTTTTTGAGTCTCTCCAAAGAAGGATTTACTGATTGCAAGTGATCTGTGGTTAGTTTATTTCTTCAAAATTGTGCTTTGATCAGTTTTATTTCATGCAAGTTACTTTCATACTTAGGAATGCATGTTGTACAACACTTTCTTACAAATTAATATTTAGTTTGTTAGGACTAATTTATTTCTGACAGAACTAAAGTTTTAACAAGAGTAGCTTAGATTATCTGTTTTTTACTTGGTACAGATGTTTTCCAATGACTTTATTGATTCTTATCATGTTTTATGAGATGGCTGGTGAGATAACATAAATAGAGATGCAAAGACATGGAGGTAAACCATGTTCTGAGAGGTTCTTTGGGCTGACACACCTGGTTTCTCTGGATATAAAGAAAAAAAACTCCTCTTTCAGGCAGCTGTTTCCTACGAAGATTGTGTTTGAGGATACAGTAACCTCATCATTTAGCCTGAAATATAAGTTGGTTCACACTGCTTCTTCAGAAACAGAAAGCTCTATCCTTGTAATAATGATAATTCATGACATTCCATGTTTGTGGGCAGTAGTTTCAGTCAGCTTTACCTTCAGGTACCTAACAAGGTCTGGGGTTGATTTGGATCTGCCCTGATGTGGGTTCACAGAGTCGGTAAAACCTCAGCTATCCAGAAAGCTAATTGTCTGAATTGCCAGACTCTCAAAATGGCCTGGAGGCAGAAAGTTAAAATGTACCACAATCTCTTTGGTCATGAAGAAGCAGTTTTTGAATATCTAACATAGCGGTAGGGATATGGTCAAAATGAATGAGTTATACCAGCACCATAAAGTTGTTTAGGGGCTGTAAAGTGCTCACATTGAGTTCTTTGACGGTACCATGAAACTCCCATTTTTGGTTTGCTCCTTTTCACAAATCACTACTTCAGTGGAATATGAGACTCATCTCTGAAAACTCACACAGCTCCTTAAGCTCTTATTCACACCTTGACATAGTTTTTTTGTGTGTGTGTGAATATGATTTATAAACGATGGGTTTATTCAGGTATTTTCTGTAAGAAATCCACATTGTATAACTTGGAGTTACCTATCATATGGTAGGCGCTCAGAAGCTTCTTTTACAGTCCCCTTTAGAATGCTACAAAGAAATATGTAGTGATTTTCAAAGGTACATCATTTAGTAGACAGTTTACGTTTCCTTGCTCACAAAAGAATGCAAGAGAATATTCCAGTAGTTTCAAAAAGTACAGTATGCAATCCTTAGAACCAAACTGCACAAATATTCAGCAGCTGTCTATTCAAAAATTAAAACCAGAGACCATATTTTGTTAGGGCTAATGTATAGTTGTCAAACTATAGACCAGAACAACAAGAATCTGTATGTGCATATTTATTCTAATCTTGTTTTCCAAGTTACTTAATTTATAGTTGCTTTTCTCTGAGAGGAAAGGACAGAACAAGTATTGCAAACACTTGCTACAGTCAGTTTTGGCAAAAAAATAACTCAGAGAGCCATGTTTTAAGAAAAATAAATTCAGGTTATAAATTTAAGCATCATTCTACTGGGTTGCAACAGTATCTGAGACTTCTACTTTGAATATTTCATCTGATGATGTAATTGGAGGCGGCAGAAGCATATTATCTGCATTTATTTGTGCAGTTGTGTATTATGTAAGTGGAGAATTGTGGGAAATAATGACTATTTCCCCCCTCCTCATAATTTTAAGCCTCAATGGAATGGAAAGAAATATCAATCGATCTTCCATATTTGGCAGAGTGCTTGCAGAGGCCACTGTCTCTGCAAACATGATAAACCTCATTTTCCCCTTCCCCTGTCAACTTGTCAAGAACAGAATTAACAGGAGGATTATATTAAGGCAAAATAATTTGGGGTTTTCTGTTTTGTTTTTGTCTTTGTTTTTAAAAGTTACTTCCATGTGTCTGGCCATGTTTCAGTAATAATGTTTGGCACTTTAATAATTCCTTTCATCTGCAAAGAGCAAATTGTTTTTCTGAAATAATTTCATTTTGTAGAATGACTCCATAGAGCAGGTTGACCCCATCCATGATCTAGAATATAAGAATTCATCATATAACAAAGGACCACCATTTAATGCCAGTTTTAGTATGTTTTCAGCTTCAACTAAAAACTTAAGATTCCATAATAAGAGAGAAGTCACCAAGCCAATTCCCTGTTGAGTGGAATATCTTACTCATTTTCTACATACATCCTACCTATCCTTGAAAGTTAAGCATAAAACCTCACCTTGCTGAAGCTTTCCTCACTGCTATAAGTCAAATCCCTGTCCATCTCTCCCTTTCCTGAGTGCATATTGCATTGGCTTATAAACCTTTTGGTGTTACTCTCCTGTGTAGATAAAGACTGTTAATTACTCTCTAATTATATTTTATGTATTAGTCTTCCCATGTCTTCCAATGTAAGTCCTCTTTGCAGAAACACCATCTTAACACTTATTTTGCATTTCCATTCGCATTTCCTTTTCTTGTTTAGTGTTTTGGAAAACTGTCATTTAATAAATATTGTTGGCCGAGTGCCTGAATGTTAAGAGAGGCCACTGTCTCTGCAAACATGATAAACCTCATTTTCCCCTTCCCCTGTCAACTCGCCCTAAGAACAGAATTAACAGGAGGATTATATTAAGGCAAAATAATCTGGGGTTTTCTGTTTTGTTTTTGTCTTTGTTTTTAAAAGTTACTTCCATATGTCTGGCCATGTTTCAGTAATAATGTTTGGCACTTTAATAATTCCTGTTATCTGCAAAGAGCAAATTGTTTTTCTGAAATAATTTCATTTTGTAGAATGACTCCATAGTGCAGGTTGACCCCATCCATGATCTAGAATATAAGAAAAATCTCACTCTGAAGTTCAGTTTCCAAAGACTTGGGAACAGATGATGAACTATGCTTTGCTTGCAGTGCCTCCTGGCTGTAAATATAGGAGCTCTGTCAACTGCTGAACTCTTGGTTGGCCTTGCAAAGCTTTGGTGTGGTCTGTGGTCTGGGGTGTAGCGTTGAGCCAGTAAAAGGCATTGCATTGTTTTATCCATCCTGTGTCCTTAGTTAGATGCATCGCATGATTGGACCTACTCAATAAGAAAATAAAGAGCAGTAGTCAATGTTTTGACCATACTTTTGGTCCTGCACAGTGTTACTAGTTGCCAACTTTATGCAAACAGATTTACCTCATCTCCTGATAAATTAGAAGATCTGGCCACATGCAGACTTGTGTTCTTCCTTTAGAGGAGACACACGCTCTCCAGTTCCACCCAGCATCCCAAGACATCTGAATTAGTTTCCTGTTGTTGCTGCTGTAACAAACTGCCGTAAACTTAGTGGCTTAAAGCACAGATTTATTATCTTACACTTCTTGATGTTGGTAGTCAAATAGGCCTGCAGGACCGTGTTTTTTCTGGAGGTTCTGGGGGAGATAATGTATTCCTTGCCTTGTCCAGCTTCTTGAAGTTGTGCACATCCCGTGACTATGGCTGAATCCCTCTGAACTCTGTTTCTATTGTCACATGTCTTTCTTTGATCCTTCTTCCTCTCTCTTTCATTTTTAAAGGATTTTTGTGATTACATTGAGCCCACTCAGATAATACAGTCACCTCTCTATCTCAAGATCCTTAATTTAATCTTGTCTGCAAAGCCCCCTTTGCTGTGTAAGGTGACTATTCACAGGTTCCATGTTCCACACCCCAAATTCACTTCCCCACTTCCACCTTCAGGGAAGCATCTAATTCCTTCAGGCTGTGACCTCTACAGTGCTGAGGAACTGGCACTGATTTCTATTTCCCTGGAGTTGGATATTTATCCACCAAATAAGATGAGAATATTTATTTAAAAAACTGATTCTCCCCCTTCACAAATTACCGTATCTAGGTATATCTTATTTTTAAATGCTATATTAAATAATCGCACAAAAATAAAACAACTCTCCTTTATTTCTTGGCTTGGTTTTGCTGCTACTGCTGCTGCTTCTTGTTTTGTTTTGTTTTGTTTTTTTCTCCTGGAGACAGGGTCTCACTGTTGCTGAGGCTGGAGTTCAGTGGCGTGATCATGGCTCACTTCAGCCTCCATCTCCCAGCTTCAAGGAATCCTCCTCCCTCAGCCTCCCTAGTAGCTAGGACAAAGGGCACGTAACCATGCCTAGCTAATTTTTTTTTTATTTTTTATTTTTGTACAGACAGAGTCTTACTATGTTGGCCAATCTGGTCTCAAACTCCTGGGCTTAAGAAATCCTCTACCTCTACCTCCCAAAGTGCTGGGATTACAGGTGTGAGCCACTGCACCTGGCCTATTCTTCTTTTTTTTTTTTTTCTTTTCAATTTTACCTGGCAATATTGTATATTTCAAGCCTTTTTTACATTGTAGTTTTCTTTTCATCTACATTTCCTACTAATTAAGATGTTTCTTCCCTCCTTGGTCCCTTGACTATTAAGCTCTTTAAAGCCTAATTATTTTCCCCTGGGAAATTGCTGCTGCTATTGCTATTTGTGGTTTTCTTCCTTGTTTTCCAACTTTTAATATAACTTCTTGTTAATCACTAGTCCTTCCTTCACAATTGTCTTATCTTTGTCATCTGACACTGGAAAATGATATACATTTTGAACTTATGACTGTCATTTATCAGCAGAACATAGTGTAATATTCATGTTTGCTGATAAGAGAGTGGCAAAATTAATGTCAGAAATACAGAAGCTACTTAGTAATCTAAGAATTGAGAAAAACTCATCTATCCACAAATTATTTGAGGCAGGAACAATTTGTCCGTCTTTGTTTCTAAGAATCATGACATTTTCTCTTTTGACCTGTCTTATTGTTATTAATACTGATGGTGTAGCTAGTGAAATAAATAGATTTCTTTTTAGTTGATTCATAGATATGCCATTCCAGAACTATAGTAGGACATAGGTCCAGAAGACCGGGTATACAGCATTGGTTGTCACCATCAGCATCAGCATTACCTGGGAATTGCTGGAAATGCACGTTGTCAGACCCCACCCCAGACCTACTGGATCAGAAGCTCTGGGGATGGGGCCCAGAAATCTATGTTTTAACAAGCTCTCCAGGAGATGATGAAGTGCAATCAAGTTTAAGAAACATCAGTGTTTTGTATTGTCACACTAGGGTGCTGGGGAGAAGGGTGAACCCTTCTAGGTCTCATTCTCTAGATCAGTTTATGCATTCATTTGTTTAGCTTCCAGGGATGTCATTTCCAATAAACTACATTCTCCAAATATTTTCAGTTCCGATAAACAGTGCACTAAAGATTCTCAGTTCCAATAAATTGTCCAAGTAACCTTATTTCACCATGGAAAGAATAATCTGTGGATTGGCATCAGGAAGAAATAGTCCTTCTTAGTTTAAGAGTCTACCCATACTGCTTAAAGCCCAAGTTGTGCCAAATTAAATACAAATGTTATGCTGGAGTGCACCAATTTATTCCTCTTAGGTCCGTGTCTCATCCATAAAATTATGGCAGTTCCAATAAGTGATATGATATCAACTCACTGAAATCTTTAAAATGAATAGACAGCTCACTCTATAGAAAAAAACTCTACTCCCTCCCCTCATCTGCCTCCTGCAGAGTCATTCAAAGTAAACCCCACATCTACCACATAATCCCATATTCATAGCAAATCAGATCATCCCTGACATTATCTCCAAATTTGGTGAAAGGTCCATTGGGCCTGTTAAAATATCTTAACTTTATTGAACTATAATTTACACGGAATGATATGGATCCATCTTTAGTGCTCATTTTGCATTGCGTGAGTCTTAGCAAATGTGTACACCACCACCACAATCACAATTTAGGACCTTTCTGGCACCCCAGAAAGCTTGTTCCAGTCTTCTTGAAGTCCATTTTTCCCAACCCCTTGGCCCCAGGCAACTACTAGTCTGCTTTCCTGTCACTTTTAGATTCTTTTTGCTCTCTCTGGGATTTCATACAAATGGAACTATGTATTCTTTTTATCTGGCTTTTTTCTTTCAGAATTATGTTTCAGAGATTCCTCCATGCTATTGTTTCCTCTATAGCTTTTTTACATTGCTGAGTAATATTCAATTGTGTGCACATACTACCACTTATTTACCTGTTGATGGGCATGTGTATATTTCCAGTGTCAGGCTGTTAAGAGTAAGGTTCCTATGAACATTTGTGTACAAATATTTGTGTGAACATGTTTTTATTTCTTTTGGGTAAATAAGAATGGAATGGCTGGGTGAGGTGGTAGACGCATGATCAGATGTGTAAGAAACTGCCAAATTGGTTTATAAAATGGTTGAACTATTTTCATTCCATCCAGCAGTATCTGAGTATTTTCACTAGGCCATTTTTACATGTATTATCAGACAAATAGAAAAAAACCTTAATTTTATGTTGATATCTACTGCATATTTATTTACATTATGCACACATATGTAAATGTATATACATACACACAAACAGGGAAATGTATACATATTTTATTATATCATATGAAGAAGCACCAGTTTTCAAAGTAAAATATAAGATCTTACTTTATGCATAAAATTCCAACCCATGAGCATATACACAAAACCCTTAAACTACATATAAGTAATTTCTGTGTTTTCCTTAGTGTTTGTTTACTTTAGTCATTTGCTGGCCATTACTGACAGTCAAATAGCAAACTTTTAAGAAAAATAATAGAAACTCTAACATGAGGAAACTGTTAGAAGCTTTTTTCCCTCTGACTTGGGAAAAGATAACTGCCACAATTTTGGGGCTGTGACTTCTGGTATTGTATCATGCAAAGTTTAAGAACTTCTGGGATAAGCAGTGGGCAAAGGGAGTGCAAATGGAGGAAACTGAGAAAGAATGATTATATAAGGAGCAACAATGATGGACTGGTGGCGAAGAAAGAAAGATTTTTCAAGGAGGGGTGGTTGGAACTTGGAAATCAAATAAGGAATCAAATGAAGATGGAACCCATGGCTGTGGCCCCATGGAGACAGAAAAAGTCAGATTTATACACAGGTCATTGTGACACTAAGCAGAATGTGAAAAAATATATCCAATAGAAATAAAAGCAGCATGTTAGTAGGGGCAGGAGAGCAGAGTAATAAAAATAACCTCGTCTCTATATATGAAATGCTGGAATTGCTGAATAGTGTTCCTGGAGTGTGGGAATAAACGATGTGGTTGAATGGGTTTGGGTTTGTTTTACAGATTTTATCCTAAAGATATGATAACTAATTAAACTACTGCTGTTAATTTGTGTCGAATACCAAGCAGAGCCTCGGGACTGGACTGAGACAGGGCCAAGGTGCTGGTATAAATTTCAGTGACTCATCTCTTGTGTCTAAAATAGCGGTAGGCTTGGGGGCAAAGTATAATCAAGGGAGGAAGTCATTTTGACACATGTTCCCCTTGAAAGCAACTTAGAACCAATGTAAGTAATTCAGTTTCTCAAGCTAGTGTTGGAAAAGGGGTGTAGATGGATAAGGGTGGGAAATGGAAAGTGAGCTTGCATCAAGTCATGAAAGACATTGTGTTGTATGCAAAGACGTTTTGATTTGATCCTACTTGTTTTCAAGATGACTTTAGGCATACACTTGGGCCTAAATGAAAATATTCTAATGGAATACATGCAAGGGCTCAGCGATTCTTAAGGGATTACTTTCCATGTTTTAAACTTTTACGTATACCCTTTCTTAAAACTGATCTGCCTAACACCTGCCTGTCCTCATCTCATTTTGTAGAAGGAAGATACTTATCTCATCTTTCCAAAATATTAATATGGTACATTGTCCTATGGTATAAAAACATTCCAAGTGCTAAACAGAAAAACACCGTGTTCTGCAACAAAACTGTGCTTAAAACATATTTGTATCATCAGTTGATAAATCGTTAAAAATAATTTTGGCCAGGCCAGGTGGTTCATGCCTGTAATCCCAGCACTTTGGGAGGCTGAGGCCAGTGGATCACCTGAAGTCAGGAGTTCGAGACCATTCTGACCAACATGGTGAAACCACGTCTCCACTAAAAATACAAAAGCATTAGCTGGCTGTGGTGGCGGGATCCTGTAATCCCAGCTACTTGGGAGGCTGAGGCAGGAGAATTGCTTGAATCTGGGAGGCGGAGGTTGCAGTGAGCTGAGATTGCACCACTGTACTCCAGCCTGGGCAATAGGAGTGAGACTTTGTCTCAAAAAATAAATAAATAAATAAATAAAAATAATTTTGAATTTGGATCACCTTCTGTGGTGGCATAAAACTCAAAAGGAGTTCAGAGATTGAAACTTTTCTTAGGGCAAAAACATTTTATCAGCACTTATGTGAAGAAAAATGAAAAACTGGAATAAAATTGATGGTAAAACTTTGTTATTTTAGCATTAAGTAATATTCATAGATGTATGGATTAATTTTTTAAAAGCCCTATCCATTTTATCAAAAGATATATTTCAAGTAAAGTTTTATATTTAATAATTACTAAAATTATATTAATATTTATGATATTTATGTGGTTTTTGTCAATTGCCTACCAGTGAAAACTTTAGTATAACTTAATTAAAATACATTATTTCACCCTTAGGGGCTAAATTCAAAGTAAATTTAAACTTAAAATTCTAAATTATGTATATATTTTGTTGTATATAGGGATATATGATAGATCAATAAAATACTTTTAGCCACAAAAATGTATTCATTAGGATAAAATTTTGCAGGGGAGGTAGAAAAGAAATAGAAAAAAGGCATTATAAAACATAAATGTTAAGTGTGAACTTGCTTATTTTTAAATAATTTTGGTGTTTACATTCTAGATACATTTAGGTATATCTAACAGCTATTATGTTTAAATTGTCAACATTTAGAACATTCTAGAAATTATATCTTTAACAACCCTTTTGAACTTATGATAAAAAATGAAGATAACTTAAAATTGACTTTTGGTGAGTTTTTCTAGATTTGTCTAGAGGGGTATAGGCACAGATTTTTTGAGGACCACAATTATGGGTAATGGGATATCACTGAAGGATTTTGAATAGGGGACTGTTTGATAAGATTGGTGGCTTTGAAAGGGTATTTTTCCATTGTGCAGGTGGATAGGGTGGCACATAGAGGTTGGGGTGATGGTAAACCAGGAACAAGTAAAACAGTGAGGAGAAGAGAGAGGGAGAGTTCAAAGCATGAAAGGGAGCAGGAGACTCAATATTGCTGGCTTCAAAGGTGAAGTAATAGGGCCATGAGATTCCTTGGCTCATGGCCCCATTACTTCAAGGAATGTGGGTGGCTTCTAGAAGCTTGAATGACAATGAAATGGATGATTCCTCTAGAGCCTCCTTAAAGGAAAGAAGCCTTGTTCCCATCTTGATTTTAGAGGTGAGATCCATGCTGCATTTCTGATCTACAGAACTGTAAGATGACATATTTGTGTTGTTTAAAGCCACTAGTTTGTGAATTTTATTACAGGAGCAATAGAAAACGAATACAGCAGATTTACCCAGGTTTTCCACTGAGGAAGGAGATGAGTCATTTGATACTGAGTTAAGTATGCCAAAGGTTGGCAGTCTAGACTTGTGGGCATTTTAGCCTCTTTGAGTACATGCTTGTTTTAGTGAATGAGAGAAAGCTGTTATGAAGGAACATTTTATATGAACTTGCTTGTTTTCATTTCTCTACACCTCACTGTCCTCTTCCTCAAAGCTAGGGGTTAGAATAGATTATCTCAGGTTCTCTTCAGCTTGAAAATTCTAAAATTATTTGCCTTGCATAAAATGAAAGAAACAAAACACACCACTATCCCCATAAAATTCCTTCTCTGGTGAGAATGAGGGGAAAAAAGGAGAACCACCTACAAGAATTATTGGTAAAAACACACATAGAATTCACTATAAAACACAAGCATGTGCTGTGCTTCAGATGCCTTGTTTAGGAATGTTTAGTTCTAAATGCTAGACATAAATCAACATATGTTCTGGAATTTTCATGATGAAATCTCTCACTGTGCATCAAAGTAAGAGAAATAGAAAGTTCTGAACAGGAGCATGTATTGTCCTAACAATCTTGTGGCCCCAATATTCATCATAATAAAAATTTTTCTGCCTTGGTATTATTATGGATAGTAATTATTATGGATAATAAAAATGATGGTGTATTAGTCAAGATCGGCTAGCTTATACTCTGACAATAAACAATTTCAAAATAAAAAAGACCATTAGTACTCATTGTTCAGCGATTTAAATCTCACAAGTAGAATCAGCCTCTTGATGGGGGATTTTTCCATTATAAAGCTGGTGCTACGATCTGAATTCTGCAAATTGGGGCATTTATTAGTTAGTGATCATATGGGATTGGTCTATGGAAGGATGCATGCTGAAGTCAGTTCTTTAGGGCTACATCTTGCCTAAACTCAGTTTAGCATGGCTGGTGTTACAACCCTCAATTCCTTTCTGCACAGGGGAATAAGTAATTTCTGATATAACTGCTGCCTTTCACACAAAGGTGGGACTCTTGCTAAGCTGCTAGAGTGCAGTCAACCTTGCCACAAAGACTATGCAGATGACTTCAGTGTTCTCAATTCCTCCCTTGGTTGAAGATCACATTCACGCCCATTTCACCCATTCAAGGACTTTCAGGTGCAAATTTTGCAAGAAAAAGCTCCTCAGATTTCCCAAGAATCATCTCATTAGAAAGGAGTTTGGAATGTGATTCTGTCTGGATGCTATTTCTGTGATACCTTGAAAACTTTGTTCCTACAAAATTATTTAAGCATTTGAGCACAAAAATAAACAAATGTCCTTGAATTTATTATCCCATATGGGCTTGCCAACTGCTACAGTGAGACTTGTGGAGATGATAAGTCCCCTGTGAGTGAGGCACTTAAGCTGCAGGACCCATATGTTGTGCCTGATTGTAATGCAGAGAAAGTTCTTTGGAAACTATGACCTTAACCAAGCTTTGAATAGCTGACCAAGATAAAGCCATCAGAGATGTCCTAAGGGTTGCCATTCATAGAGGGTCATCAAAAGTCTTTGGCCTCATGCACTTTGTGCCACCCTCCTCACTAACATTCTATTCATGATATTAGTCTTTTTGAGACCTCCCAAATGGTGCTGATCTAATTCATTTCTGCAAACAGACTTCAGATGTTATGAGGTGTCTGTCAGATGAGGCTCAGGGTACCAAGCATTGTTTTTGCTTGCCATATTGATCACTGTTAAAGGTGTATCTGAAAGTAAGTCTTGATAGTCCCTAGCAATCAAAAGTGTTTCCTCAAGTCCTAATTTTTTAGGTGTTTTTCCCTATACCTTCTGAGTCTCTTACTTCAGGCTGCTATCACAAAATGCCATAGACTAGGTGCCTTATAAACAAAAGCCATTTCTTACCGTTGTGGAGGCTGGAAGTCCAAAGTCAAGGTGCCTGCAGATTCCGTGTCTGGAGAGGGCCCTCTTTCTGGTTTGTAGATGGTCTTGTCATTGTCCTTACATGGCACTCAGGTCGGGGGGATGGTGGAGGCAGAGTGTTTGTCTCTGTTCTTTTATAATGCTGTAAATCCCATCATACAGGCCCCATCCTCATGACCTAATCCAACTCTAATTACCTCCCAAAGACCCCACTTCCAAATACCATTACACTGGGGATTGGGGCTTCATTATGGAAATTTTGGGAGTGGAGGACACAAATGTTCAGTCCCTAGCAATCTCACTAGGACAACAAAGTGAGACAAATAATTGTTCTGTAGAGCTTCTTAGAATAACACCAATACAGTCTCCCAAAAGAGAGAAAGAAGATCAATAATAGGGGTTCTAGGAAATTGCTTTCAGACCTTGGGCTAATTTTATGAAATGATTTTGAGAAAAGGAAGGGCAAAGTGAGTAATAGATTTTAGCAACAGTCATGAGAGTGGGAGTTGAGAGGGCGGTGTCTGTTTTGTTGTTCTTTGTCCATAGCGTCTCACCTATAACCTGGCCCGTGGAAAATGTTCAAAAAATAAGTTTTGTATAAATGAATTGATCATTAGCTGGAGTGGTTTTATAGCAATAAGAATTACCTTGTTGAAGAATTGGTTCTTCTTTGCCTTTAAATGTCTTCAGGTTTGGGCTCCATTCTTGTAGCTAGCTGCTGACTATTGGTTTACCCCATGTAAAGTGAGTAAAGGGTTGAGGGTTTTTTCTTATCCTTAGGCTATCAATCACCTGCTTCTGGGGCTCTCACAGTTAAAAGAACTCTTTAAAGTTGGCTGTGCTGGAAGCTACCCATTATACCAGGCTGAAGTGTCTACGGGAGGCATGTTCTTCGTTTTTTGTCTAAAATTGAGGGTTTTGGGGAATTTGCTCAATCATCGCTAGGCCTAACTCAAGTCTCAGTAACCCGGGAACCTGTGAGCTATTACAGAAGATGCATCTGTAGTATTTACTGAGTGCATGGATGGGTGGTTTACAGACTTCTCCTCAACAAATAGCAGGGCTGTAATAGCAAGTGACAGGGAGCTTCTGGCAGAGGTAGAGATTGAAGGGCAGGTGGTTGGCCTGTTGTCTCTAGGAAATGAACTCCCAGCTCAGGCGCCTAGGACATGGGACTTCGGATTTTTAAACTGGGACTAGTTGGGTCACCCAGTGCTGAAACCTTGGCCCTCTGCCGACAGGCTAAGGGGCTTCCTGGTGTAGCTCTCCCTTCTCAGCTGTCTCAGCCATGTCCTTCCCATGCTCTGAGACACCACCAGCAGCAACAGTTTGGGGATCATGTGAAAGAAAAGTAATAAATACCTATTCTGTTTGGTCACATCTAATTGCTCATTTTCATCATATTTACAAGGAAGAATACGCTTACAGGGCCTGAAGCTACCACTCAGTGACTTCAGGATTCAACGTGTCTTTCTGCAGGGGTCAGGGAGTCACGCTGCTCTGCCTCACAGCACAGCTAGGAAGAATCTGTCTGTGTCTATTAAACTACAGGGAGAGCACCATTTGAAATCTCCCCTGCCCCGGAGGATGTTGTCCAAACATAAGTGGTGTCCCAGAGTTTTCTCTAACTCTCCAGCCCAAGTCCCTCTTACAGCCCAGGGAAGCCTGGGGCTCACCTATCTCGTGAAAATGTGCTGTATTGTTGGTGTCCCAGCCAAGGTACCCCAAGCATAATGGGGTAACTCCAGATTGGGTCACTAAGCCCATCTCCCACTACACAACGGCCACATTTCCCTCCCTCCCTCAGTTAGTTCTGGGGAGGAGGAAGTGATGAGGGCTGGTGAGGCTTCTCCAGAACAAGATGGAGATGCAACTCTAAAACCAGGTAGAGCGGGAGGCATGGGGGAAAGGGCTGTGATACCACAGAGGACGTAGAAATTTTTTTCCATCACCACACATAAGAAAGAAGAAAAGCTGCTAGATTTTTAAGTTTCAGTTTTGGAGTAGTATCAAAAAGGACCATCAAGCTGGAGATATTTATTTAGATAAGAATGCTGGTCTAATTTATCATTATTTTCAACTTCTCTTGCTTGTAGTTATAATTAGTGATAAGTAATATTTTAAGTGTTTTTTAATGGTTTTTGGAAATATTGTATACAGACGTTTAAAGTTGTATACAAATTGAATTAGGGAAAATGGAATCTCACTTTCCTGTTTGTATGTGTTATTGAAAAATATTATTTTAATTTTACATCAGATATCTTGATACCTCACTGGTATTAGGCTGAACCATACGAAATTGCTGTTTTTGTTGATCAAAATGATTAAATATTAGTTACTTCATATAGCTCATTGTAACATATTTATACCCTGGGTCTTTATAACCAGAGACAAGTGGATTAATCTATGAAGCTATTAAAAAATTCTATAGTAAATATATTTATAAACTGAAGAATCTGCTTTAACGTGAGCTACTTTCCCTGCACTATCAGTTTTTGCAAGTTTACATTTTTTTCCTGCAAAAAGAGGCAAAATTAATTTTAAAAATCTAAAGCCATTGGAAGGTACCAGAAGATGGGACGTTTCAAAGAAGGAATTAAATTGAAGGTAGAAGGCATCCTATTTCCTACATTGACTTCAACCCCCACCACCTTCTGCAATGATTCTGAAGGCGATCCTTGCTCAAAGGTGACCACCTCAGTATTGTGGTCATGGGAAAAAACGGAAAAGGGATCAGCATTCTTTAGCTTCTTTTATGGCTTTATTTCAGCTGGGTTTTCAAATTTTACTTGAGTAGATAGCTTTATTTGGCTCAGAATGAGTCAAAGTGGTTTTTTGGTGAATGTTTCCTTTACCTTCATAAGCACTTTCTTTAAAGTTCCAGGTGAAACCCCCAGCATGGTGGACACTGTGTCGTGATGTCATTGCAGGTGCTCTATTTGAGAAGCCATCCATGGTTTCTTCAGTTCTAGAAATGCTTCAGATTGATAACATTACTATGCTCATAGGTTTTATGTTGTTTTGAAATTAAATTAATATAGAAAGGAACCATTTGAGGGTGGTGACCCAGCATTGTGCCTCAAAAAAAAAAAAAAAAAAAAAACCTCTGGTTTTTATGATTAGGAGGCAATTTTTTTTTATTCAACTAGTTTTGACTCTTACGGAAATAAAACATCGCCACTATGAACCGATTTATGAGCTGTCAGGTGATCTTATGTGTTGTATACATATAACACACGCATCTAGGAGCTGTTTTAAAAATCTTGACAGTTGTACATTCAATTTGTGTAATGCTAGCCCTACTGTAAAATACTCTAGTTTTTTTGTTGGGACAGAACCACACCTAAGTGAAACTTGCAGCTAGCTGCCCATCTGCCCATGAATAGTTTACTACCTATTTATGTATTTATTTATTTTTCAGACAGGGTCTCACTCTGTCAGCCACCCCGGCTGGAGTGCAGTGGCACAATCATAGCCCACTGCAGCCTTGACCACCTGGGCTCAAGCCATCCTTCTGCTTCAGCTTCCCCAGTAGCTGGGACTACAGGTGTGTGCCACCATGCCCCACTGGTAGGGGTCTCACTATGTAGTGCAGGTTGGTCTCGAACTTCTGGCCTTGAAAAATCATACTGCCTTGGCCTCCCAAGTTGCTTGGATTATAGGTGAGAGCTACCACGCCCAGCCTAAGACTTTGCTTCCTTGTGGAAAAACTCCCTGGAAGGGAATCCCATATTAAATAGCAGGTGCTAAATAGAAACCTAGTGTTTGACTGAGTGATAACATTTTCTATAGTTTTTTTTTTATTTATACTGAAATTTAGAAAGGGCATATTATTCAGTTTTGTTCTTCAAATCATCCTTGACTCCTCTCTCTCACACTCACACGTGGTATGGTAAATTCTGTCTGCTCTACCTTCAAAATGTACCCACCTTCTTTTCACTAATTCCCTTGCTGCCATCCTGGCCTGAGCCAGGTTCTCTTTCACCTGGATGACTGGTCTCTTCTCATCCTGGCTTGTTCCCCACACTGACCCCTCTCCGTAGCCTGTTCTGCACTCAGCACCGAAAGTGACTGACTAAGTGTAAGTCAGCTCCTGAGCCTCCCTGCTCAGAGCCCTCCAAGGGGTCCTCATCTGACTCCGAGTAAAAGCCAGAGTCTTTACCGTGACCCACCAGGCCTGTGTGATCTGACTCCTTTTTGCGTGACCTCATCTCTAGCTCACTGGGCTTAGTCACACTGGCTTCCTCGCTGCTCTGCTGTCATCCTGGGGTCTTTGCTGTGGCTGCTTCCTCTCCCAGTAATGCTCTGCCTTCCCCCACTCATCCACATGGCTAAATCTCTCATTTCCTTAGTTTTTGCTCATTTATAAAGCTAGATTTCTTATTAACATTAACCCCTACTCCGTTCTCTATTTTTGCTTTTTCCACAGCACTTACCATCCTTTAATATATGGTATAATTTATTTATCATGTTTAGCGTTTACTGCCTCTCTAGAATGTAAGTGCCATAGTGGTGGCAGTTTTGTTTTATTTACTGATGTTCACCAAGCACTTAGAAAAGTGCCTCATTCATAGTAGTGATTCAGTAAATATTTGCTGAATAAATGAACGCCCATTCAAGGGTGGTGTGGTGGGTGAACCCTTATTGTCCCTTGACCTTGGATGCCTGTTTTAAAAAATCATGTTTAACAAATCCTAAAGCCATTCTTTTATGGTATGGGTTTCAGACTTCACATTTTACATATCTACTCATGAGATAAGAGTCAAAAGAAAGTTTTTTAAAAAATAGTATTTGTCAAAACCCATTCTGATTGTTTTTTCTTATAATGACAGATTAGTCTCTGCCAACTCATTCCAGAAGCTTCCATTTGATCCTCAGAGGTTTTTAATTGGCACGAGGCTCTTTTCAGGAAAGGGCCACTTTAACATCTATGGAAAAATAATCATGTACTTTTAATTCCACTTATCTGAAACCAACTAGTAAACCCAAAGAAAACACTGGGTGTTTTAATTTTTTGAAGTGGCTTGAATTGTCCCGAGGTCATGGCATCCAGTGAATTCACTTCTTTGTCTTTCCTGTCTGGCCGTTTTTGTGCCTTCTGGGTGTGAACAACTCAAGCGGTTTGCCATGTGCCAAACGAGCTGCTGCCTCTTCTCCTTTCCAGTGGTGTGGTCCAGGTCCACTTTGCAGACTGAGTTCTTTTCTCTCTGCAGGTGCCTTCTACTTCTAGCTAGTTATCTTGTGCTTCTCTTCCCAGCCTGTTTATCTAAATGAGTTTCTTTTCCTCCAGCCCAGCTGCCTCCTGAAGGTACAGGAAACCCCCAATGAAACCATCAGTTCTGCCTCTGATGGTTTGCCTGTCCTTTGCCTCAGACGCTGAGACCTCGGTGCCCTGGCCACAGTGACCCTTTTATTTGCTTTCCTGCTACTTCCCTACCTGTTGTTTTATTTTTTACTTATTATTATTATTTTTTGAGATGGAGTCTTGCTCTGTCACCCAGGCTGGAGTGCAGTGGCGTGATCTCAGCTTACTGCAAACTTCACCTTCTGGGTTCAGGCGATTCTCCTGCCTCAGCCTCCCTGAGGGATTACAGGTGCCTACCAGCAGCCTGGATAATTTTTGTATTTTTTTTTTTAGTAGAGACAGCGTTTTACCATGTCTGCCAGGCTGGTCTCAAACTCCTGACCTCAAGTGATCTGTCCGCCTCGGCCTCCCAAAGTCCTGGGATTACAGGCATGAGCACCATGCCCGGCCTACTTGTCACTTTAAAACACAGCCATGCCTCCACCCACTGCCGTGCTCTCTCTTCAAGAAACACCAGCACCACTTCCTGCTCTAAAACATTTGCACACCCCTGCTGAGGACCCTAATGACACTGTCTGTGTACCTCCTTTATCACAGACACTTACTCTTCTGTCTTCTGTTTTCGTGGTGTGCGTTGCTTCATTTCAAGGACATAACTATGTAAACTTCCATGCCAGACTGTAAACCCTCTGAGGGTGAGGATTACGTTATATCTGACCCTATGTGTAAAACTTTGCTGTGTATGGGTTCAGTAAGTATTTCATAGGACCGTGAAACATTACTGGTTGAATGGGCTCTGGAAATAAAACTACTGTATAGGCCAGAGTTCTAGAACTGTCCAGATTTTTAAACATTCTGTCCTTTTATCTTCTGAAAATTATAGTTGTATTTTTCCACTGATAGAAACTAAGTTTTAGTTGGAAAATGATAATTTCCGTAGGCAAATATCATCCTATAGTTTAACCCTTCACATGAGTGAATTGTGATTGAAAGAAGATTCAAGGGTGGGTTGTCCATGTTCCTCTTACTATTCTCCATGTGTTTTACATGAAGGCATTTTGCGTTCATTTGGGAATTATTCTTATAGGTCTCTCAGTTTTAATACAAAATGGGTTATAAATATGGCTCTGGTAGTGAATCTCTCAAACTAGAAGATTTCTCCCAGCCACAATTCAGTTACATCTAGAAGATAACATTCACACATTTCTTCATTCATTTCAGCAAAGAGTGACTGTTATGTGCCAGGTATATAATATGAATTGATCAGACACAAGTCCCTGCTTTCGTGGAGCTTACATTCCAGGGAGTGGAGACAGATGAACAAAAAATAAAATGAAAAGTGTGCCAGATGGTAATGTGTGATGCAGAGAAATTAGGCAGGGGAGGAAGGATGGAAAGCCAGGGAAATTGTAATTTAAAATAAGGTGATTGGCAGGGGCCTGAAGGTGGTGAAATAATTAGCCCTATAGGTAACAATGGGAAGAACATTATAGGCGGATGGAACAATGGCACTGTGTGGGAGTCACTTGTCATGTGCGAGGAACAGCAAGGACATCCTTCTTCAACTTGGAGAGGGTTGGGGAGTAGGACTGGTTGATTCAGAGAGGTGGAGGGGAATTCAGACCACTTCAATTTCTTTTCAGCCTCGACACTAGTGACATTCTGGGTTGGTTAATTGTTCATTGTGGAGGGCTGTCATATAGTGACATTCTGGGTTGGTTAACTGTTCATTGTGGAGGGCTGTCATACAGTGACATTCTGGGTTGGTTAACTGTTCATTGTGGAGGGCTGTCATATAGTGACATTCTGGGTTGGTTAACTGTTCATTGTGGAGGGCTGTCATATAGTGACATTCTGGGTTGGTTAAGTGTTCATTGTGGAGGGCTGTCATATAGTGACATTCTGGGTTGGTTAACTGTTCATTGTGGAGGGCTGTCATATAGTGACATTCTGGGTTGGTTAACTGTTCACTGTGGAGGGCTGTCATATAGTGACATTCTGGGTTGGTTAATTGTTCACTGTGGAGGGCTGTCATATAGTGACATTCTGGGTTGGTTAATTGTTCATTGTGGAGGGCTGTCATATAGTGACATTCTGGGTTGGTTAACTGTTCATTGTGGAGAGCTGTCATATAGTGACATTCTGGGTTGGTTAACTGTTCATTGTGGAGGGCTGTCATATAGTGACATTCTGGGTTGGTTAACTGTTCATTGTGGAGGGCTGTCATATAGTGACATTCTGGGTTGGTTAACTGTTCATTGTGGAGGGCTGTCCTATAGTGACATTCTGGGTTGGTTAACTGTTCATTGTGGAGGGCTGTCCTATAGTGACATTCTGGGTTGGTTAACTGTTCATTGTGGAGGGCTGTCATATAGTGACATTCTGGGTTGGTTAACTGTTCATTGTGGAGGGCTGTCCTATAGTGACATTCTGGGTTGGTTAATTGTTCATTGTGGAGGGCTGTCATATAGTGACATTCTGGGTTGGTTAACTGTTCATTGTGGAGGGCTGTCATATAGTGACATTCTGGGTTGGTTAACTGTTCATTGTGGAGGGCTGTCATATAGTGACATTCTGGGTTGGTTAACTGTTCATTGTGGAGGGCTGTCCTATAGTGACATTCTGGGTTGGTTAATTGTTCATTGTGGAGGGCTGTCATATAGTGACATTCTGGGTTGGTTAACTGTTCATTGTGGAGGGCTGTCATATGCACTGTAGGATGCTTAGCAGCATCCCCGGACTCCACCCACTAGATGCCAGGAGCATACTGTCTCAGTCCATTTATGCTGCTGTAACAGAATACCACAGACTGGGCGATTTATAAACAACAGAAAATTATTTCTCATAATTCTGGAGGCTGAGAAGTCCAAGATCCAGGTGCCAGTAGACTAAGTGTCTGTGAAGCTCTCTGCTTCATGATGATGCCTTGTTGCTCCATCTTCATATGGCAGAAGGTAGAAGGGCAAAAGGACCTGGCTAGTTTGCGCTAGCCCCTTTATAAGGCACTAATCCCATTAATGAGGATAGACCCATCATGGCTCAGTCACCTCCTAAAGGCCCCACTTCTTAATACTGTTACACTAGGGATTAGGTGTCAACATGAATTTTGGACACAAACTTTTAAACCATAGAGCACACCTTCTCCCCCACCCCCGAGGTGTGACAACTAACAGTGTCTCCAGACATTGGCAAATGTCCTCGGAGGCACAAACTCACATTTGGTTGAGAACCACTGCTTCACACCAAAGTAAGGACTTTGTTAATTTGAGTGGTTCTTTCATTTTAAGGAAAGTCCTCTGGCTGGCTGAAGGGGAACAAAGATGGGACCAGGGAAGAAAATTAGCACATGGCCATTTGGGAGGTGAGGATACCTAGAAGCTGACTGGGGCTGGCTGGCGATATGGTTTGGCTCTGTGTCCCCACCCAACTCTCATCTCAAATTGTAATCCCCACGTGTCAAGGGAGGGAGGTGATTGGATTGTGGGAATGGTTTCCCCCGTGCTATTCTCATGATAGTGAGTTCTCACAAGATCTTATAAGGTGCTCTTGTGCCTTCCCTCACACTTCTCTCTCCTGCCACCATGTGAAAAAGGTCCTTGCTTCCCCTTTGCCTTCTGCCATGATTGTAAATTTCCTGAGGCCTCCCCAATCATATGGACCTGTAAGTCAATTTGTAAACCTCTTTTCTTTATAAATTACCCAGTCTCAGGCAGCTCTTTTTAGCAGTGTGAGAACAGACTAATAGAGCTGGGGTTGGTCAGGAGTGAATCAGATTTTGGATATTTGGAATGATTAACCATCAGGATTTGCTGACAGACTGGAGACCAGGTATAAAGAAGGAGTCAAAAATAACTACGAGGATGTGGGCCTGGGCAGGGAGGATGCAGGCAAGGAGCAGGTTCCTGGGGACATTGAGAGCTTGGTTTGAACATTTTGTATTTGAGAATATTGATTATTCTCTGTATTCTCCCTCACAATAACCCTGAGAGGTGGGTATGCTCTCCTTTTACAATAAGAGGACCCTGAAGCTCATGGAGCTTGGTTAATTGCCCAAGGTCACACAATCTGTAAAAGACAGAAAGGGACTTAAATCCAGACATGTCTAACTACTAACCCCCTCCTCCTTGATATACTTTGAAGTGATTTTGTATGGTTTAGAAGCCTCCAGTATGAAGTAATAGTATAGTATTTTATACCCTGCAGAGTTTAATTCAGTAGACTAATTTTTCATGAAATGCAGTTCTGCTAAATACTAACATTTCAAAGCAGAGACAGTTGTTTCTTTTGCATTTTATAGCAGGATAGAACACAAACATGAACCTTAGGAAGTATTTTGCATACAGTAGTAAAATAAATTACATGGAATATCAGGGCTATGGTTTGAATGTGTGTCTCCGTCCAAAATTCATACATTGGAACTTAAACACTGCTGTGTGGTGATGGGACTAAGAGATGGGATCTTTAAGAAGTGATCTTTAGGACTAGTGACCTTATAAAAGGGCTGGAGGGAACTAGATAGGCATTTTTTTTTTTTTTTTTTTTTTTTTTTTGCTTTCCACCGTGTAGGGACACAGTGTTCAAGGGGCCCTCTTAGAAGCAGAGACCAGGTCCTCACTAAACACTGAATCTGCTGGTAACTTGATCTTGGACTTTGCAGCCTCCAGAACTGTGAGAAATAAATTTCTATTATTTATAACTTACCCAGTCTGTGCTATTTTATTATAGAATCATGAACAGACTAACACAATCAGTGGTTAGTTGGATTTTAAGTGAGTTCTAAGTTGCTATTTCTCCATCTGTCCTGTTGGTACCTAGTCCTACCAGTTATATGGCAAATCAATGGTCTGTGGTCAGTTTTGTTTGGAAATATACCCCGAGTCCCTCTGCTAGGGATCTATAATACACAGACTACTTCTCCCTTCTCCCCTCCAGCACCTCCAAAATATATTAAGCATCTCACAGGTACAGGTGGTGCTAAACCATTTTTCCATCTCGAATATATTTCTATAGGTCTGCTATGGTCATGGCTATGTCCAGATATTAATTCATTCTGTATGTTTTTTTTTTTTTTTAAATATACACATCCTTAGAGCTTAGGTATGATGCTAGTAGGCTATTTTGCTCCTCTGTCATTTTTCTGCCAAACCCTTCTGACTTTTTAGCTGTGCTACCACCAGACCACTGAGTGATTAACGTGAATGGATTTTCTTGAAATAGATCCTGAGACCTTTTGCATCTAAAAGCAGGTTCCCTATCTCTTTCAGCTATATAATTGTGTATTTAAACAGTGGGACTCAACAAGGTAATTGCAGTCTTGGAGTTCCTAGCAGAGTGAGCCATCGAGCCGGCAGTAGGGAGCTGTGTGCCATGATTGATTCCATGGGGGTTTGGGAAATTTGAGGTGATATGAGCCGAACTGCTCTGAAGAGTTGCCCACAGGTATCTCTGCTGTTACACCTTGTATAGTTTTGTGATGACTTAACCTAATATAAAAGATCACACTGTCATTTCTCTTTGAGAATAATCAGTGCCAAGGGAGGTTTCTTAGGAGGTCTTTGGCACTTTATTCTTGATGAGTTTTTGGCAGGGCCAGGTTCATGAATGTGTGACCTGTGGAATTGCACAGGGTTCTAGACTCAGAAAGGTCCTGCCTGTGTTTTGTGTTTGGTTTAAAGATAGCTGTCAGAGTCTTGAATTTTTTTTTCTTTTTTTTTTTTTTTGAGATAGGGTCCTGCTGTGTCACCCAGGCTGGAGTGCAGTGGTGTGATCACCGTTCACTGTAGCCTCGTCCTCCCAGGGTCTCCATAGGGAGGCCCTGTCTCTACAAAAACAAACAAAAAAATTAGCTGGGCATGGTGGTGCACACCTTTAGTACCAGCAAGTCAGGAGTCTGAGGTGGGAGGATTGCTTGAGCCTGGGAGGTTGAGGCTACAGTGAACTGCACTCCAGTCTGAGTGACATAGCAGGACCCTATCTCAACAAAAAAAGAAAAAAAAATGTCAAGACAGTAATAGCAGAGCTTTAATTCAAACACAGAGCCTTTATATGCTATAGCTCAGGTTGGAGCACCTATCCGTTAATTAGCAGTTTTGCCCAAAAGGGGCCTATGCAGATCTCAGGCCCCTCTCAGAATCTATGTTCTAGTTGGAAACAAGGGCTAATCATCTGTATGTAAAACAAGCTTTCAGGCAAGATGCAAAATGCTTCTTGATCAGCAGCATTGCCAAGGTGAAAGTTAACTATGCATGTTCACTCATCATTCAACAAATATTTATTGAGCACCTACCATGTGCTGGGCACTGTGCTAGGAGCTGGGATGGACGCTATCTTGGGTTCCTTGTGAAGCAGACGCCATGACAAAGATTTGAGTGCAAGTGACTTATTGGAAAGATGATCGCAGGAAATACTGGTAGAAGAGTAAGAAAGTGAGACAGAGACATGAAGGAAGCCAATAAATGGTTTGTTTTCACAGAGAAAAACTACAACTATGTGCAACTAGGGCCTAATCCACTGAGGACCAGTGTAGAACATGCCTCGGAATTTTCCTGTAGAAAGACACAGGTTGGTTCCTTTCCCACTAACTCTGATCCATCTGGTTGAGAGCTGCCCAGGGTTATTTCCAGCCTGCCCCCTGTGTCAGAATGAACACAACTCCTCAGCTAGAGAAAGCTCTTAGGCAAAGAATCACAGCATTTGTATTAGAAAGCTGTATGTGAATATTAGATTAGTGGGTGCTAAGCGTGAGGGGATGAAGAGTGACAAGTTGGGGCCACCATTTTGAATAGATTGGTAGGACAGAGCTTTCTGAAGAGGTGACTCTTGAAAAAAGACCTATGTCTTTTTAAAATTTTACTATTTCAAAAATGGGAGTCATGCATCAAGAAAAATAGGATTCTTAAGTCATGTTGTATATAATAGACAAATAATAAACATATATTTTGATCTTTGGGAATGTTTATATTCTTGAAAACATTATAACTTTCAGAGAGTATTTGGCTATTTGGTTGGTAATTTTCTTGACAATCTCTTTTTGAATACTGTGGCATCTTTTCATCTATATTCTAGGTTTTCTCAGTGTTAGACCATTAGACCTCATGATCAGAATATTACAGTTTTCAAAACCAAAGTTACTGTCTTCTTTAAAGTATGGGATATAGTGTCTTTAAGCATGAACTGCTTTTTTTTTTAAAAAAAATTGGAAGCTATCACTCTTTTTATACACATTCATTGTGAACTTGGTGTTTCGTGTTTTTAAACAACTGAATGATTATAAGTAAAGAAATGACTGCCTTGAGTAGGATAGTGAAATAATAGGAAGTGAAATATAAATTTTCACATTAGAAAAAAATGATTCCCACTTCTTTGTTGGGACAAGAATGTGAAGAGTGTTCCTTATGATTAAATGACTCAAAATTGACTCACTTTGTCTAATTAATAGATAGGCCTTACTGTTTAGATGTTTGTATTTTACAAATGTATTTTCCAACACAAAACCACTGGAGGGTGAACTCAGGTAATTTTAGCTACATTTTTTTTTCCTGTAAAACATAGTTTCACATAGCTTTAAAATCAACCTTTTTGGGCCGGGCGCAGTGGCTCATACGTGTAATCCCAGCACTTTGGGAGGACAAGGTGGGTGGATCACAAGGTCAGGAGATCGAGACCATCCTGGCTAAAAAACGGTGAAACCCCTTCTCTACTAAAAATACAAAAAATTAGCCGGGCGTGGTGGCAGGCCAGGCGCCTGTAGTCCCAGCTACTCGGGAGGCTGAGGCAGGAGAATGGTGTGAACCCGGGAGGCGGAGCTTGCAGTGAGTGGAGATTGCGCCACTGCACTCCAGCCTGGGCGACAGAGCAAGACTCCATCTCAAAAAAAAAAAAAAAAAAAAAAAGAACCTTTTTTTAATTTCCTTACTTCAACCCAAATGGATGCATCTGTAAAATTGTATCTCTCATAAATCATTCTAATAATATTTGCGGTGATTATAAAAGGAAAATACATGGGGCTTGCTAATTATGAGAAGACATTTGTTTGTTTGCTTGCTTAACAGTTACTTCATGCATTGTCCTAATGCTTCTTTGCAGAAATCTTTTAGTAGTTAGTGCCTCTCTTTTTGTGCAGTAAGCAATGGATCAGACTGTAAGCTTTTACTTTACTAAGTGAGGCGATGGCAAGATTTTAAGACCAAATTAGGAAGTTTGGTTTTTCTCTGGAAACTATTTCATTTTTAGTCCAATTTTAGTCTAGAAAAATAGGGTTACAAACAAAGCCTAATAATTCATTGCTTAACAGAAGTTAAATGAAAAACTGCAGTTTGCATCAACTTCCTGGTTTTTCGCAAAATCATCCCGCATATTCTTTTTAGCTTTGTGTGGAACTGGGGCTTATCACACTTTAATGTGGATATGAGTCACCTGGAGTTGGTGTTAAAATGTAGATTCTGCACGTCCAACAAGCATCCAGATGATGCAGATGCTGCTGGTCTGTGGGCACCTTTGAGGAGCAAGGTTTCTGTGTTGGTTAATTTTATACGTCAACCTGACTCGGCTAAGGGTTGCTCGATAGTTGGTAAAACATTATTTCTGGCTGTGTCTGTAAGGATGTTTCTAGAAGAGATTAGCATTTGAATTGGTAGACAGAGTAGAAAACAGTGTCTTCACCAGTGCAGGTGGGTATCATCAGCAGTTCATTGAGGGGGTGAATAGAAGACAAGTGCAGAAATGGTGAATTCTTCTCTTTCTGCTTGAGCTTAGACATCCATCATCTCCTGCTCTGCCCTTGGACATCGGTGCTCCTGGTTCTTGGGCTTTTTGACTCAGGCTGGGATCCCATCAATCCTCCTGACCTCCTATCTCAGGCCTTTGGACTCTTATTGAATTACACCACCAACTTTCCCGGCTCTCCAACAGATTGTGGGACTTCTTGGCCTCCCTAACTGCATGAGCCAATTCTTAGAATAAATCTCAGTTTATATATATCTCTCTATATCCTACTGGTTCTGTTTCTCTAGAGAACCCTGACTAATACAGTCTCAGACAACTGGCTTCAGGATTCATCTTGCCTAACTGTGGGGGCAAAACCATGCCTGGGGAGGGGTGGACTGCTTTGAAAAACAAAGAGGTTTTGGAGATAAAGTTAGCCTGAAAATTTTTCTGATTCAGACAACCTTGCATCAGAAAAATTTTGATGAGCCTTGCTTAGGAGTGCAAAAAGCAGACGTTACAGTTTTAAGCAGAAAGGGCTCTTGATGTTAAGTAAAGGACTGGTAGAGATTACAGAAGAATTTCAGGTACTGTAGTAATTACAGAGGCAGAACTCTTTTCTCCTTAGCAACAGTCTATGTGTGGGGAGCAGAAGCTTGTTATAGCAGAGGTCACTACAGAGAAATCTGTGTGTGCAGGCAGAGTCAAAAGCAATTGAAACAAGTTTGCACTAATGACTTTGGGGACCAGAGTGCCCTGACAATGGAATAGGAGGGCCATATTATCAGGGGTGACCTCTAATTTGCAATTAAAATGACTTCTGGGCATGTAAATGGACAACTGGGTGGGAGGATTGTGTAATGTGGGTGGCACTCAGTGAATTTCTTTATCTTAGACTTTGATGAAGGAAAGTTATTCCCCTGCTCCTTGCAAGCTCGATAGTGACAGATGGTTGTTGCTTCCTTGCTGGTTTCTGTTCCTAGAGGAATAAAGTAGGAATTGGTGTTCAGAATTCAGGCTATGGAAAGATACTGATGTTTGGGTGGACAATTTAGGTATAAGAGGACATTGGCTGCTGTTACTCAACCAAGGCAAAGAAGGGTTGTGGAAAGTCATGAAGATTAGGGGTAGCCAAAACTACTCATGTGATCCTTGAGCAGGTTATTAACCTCTTCTAGCATCAGGTTAGTCTGCTTTCATGAGGGTAATAAGGCCTATCTTTGGTGGGTTGGAGATTTTATTTATGAGGGGCCTAGCAGAATATTTAGTACAAAGGTTCTCAGTAAGCGGAGGTGTTATTTTAGAAATTTATCTTGAGGTATAGCTCATGATTAGATTTCAAGATGAGAGCTAGAGTTCTGAATTGAATTTAAACTTGAATTTCATCAATACAGTATAGCGACAAAGCCCAGAGGGAATATAAGAGATGTAGGCAATGTAAAATGCAAGAAAGCAAGATGCTCAGTGTAGTAAGAAAACTGGTAGATTAATATTTTCCACAAATGTGACAAAATACAAATTTATTTACAGAGCTCTTGGCACATTAATGGGTGAAATGCCTGGGGCTGTAATGATTAGAGGAGAGTTAAATTCTTGTAATAACCAGAACTTAGAGAATTATTAGATGCCTCCAGGTAAACGACCATGTGGGCCTCTCCAGTTGTCTTTCTTCTGATCACCTGGTTGTAACAGAGAGATTTTATTATTGTCAACCCATAACTCACTGCCTACCCATTAAGCAATTCCACAGATTCTTTCCTAGGACCTGTGCTGTCCAATATGGGCACCACTTGCTGCAATATGGCTATTTTGCACTCACCACGTAGCCAGTTCAAGTTGAGATGTGTCTGCAAGTATAAAATACACATCAGATTTCAAAGACTTAGTATGAAAAAATAATGTAAAATATCTCATTAATTTTTGTGTAATATATGGAATACATGTTGAAATAATATTTAGAATATAGCGGATTAATGAAAGATATTAATATTAAAAATTGGTTTTACCTTGTCGAATGTGGCAACTAAAAAATTTAAGTTATGCATATAGTTCACATTTTATTTTTATTGAATATTGCTGCCTAGACCACCCTGGGACCTGTATAGGAATTTTCTGGAGAGGCTTAAATCAAACTCCCTTGTTGCCAAACAGAAATAAAACTAAACCAGGCCGGGCGCGGTGGCGCATGCCTGTAATCCCAGCACTTTGGGAGGCTGAGGTTGGTGGATCACCTGAGATCAGAAGTTTGAGACCAACCTGGCCAACATGGTGAAACCCCGTTTCTACTAAAATACAAAAAT
Organism: Homo sapiens; assembly: GCF_000001405.40. Taxonomy (NCBI): domain Eukaryota; kingdom Metazoa; phylum Chordata; class Mammalia; order Primates; family Hominidae; genus Homo; species Homo sapiens. The sequence continues at coordinate 9,197,827 of NC_000020.11, forward strand.
TAGCTGGGCATGGTGGTGGGCATCTGTAATCCCAGCTACTTGGGAGGCTGAGGCAGGAGAATTGCTGGAACCTGGGAGGCAGAGGTTGCAGTGAGCCGAGATTGTGCCATTGCACTCCAGCCTGGGCAACAAGAGCAAAACTCCATCTCAAAAATAAAAAAATAAAAAATAAAAAAAAAAACAAAATCTTATGCTGATTCAGGAGAACTTCTGAGCTGAGAACCATTGTCATTTCTCAACAAAAGGACTCTGCATGAGCAAGTTAACTGAATTCCTGTGGTAAACATGTTAGGTCCCTCTAGGTGTAGTCTCAGAGATATAACTAAGGTTTTTATATCATTTATACTTAGCTTTTTCTTAACTTTGTTTTAAGTCAGTATTTGCCAACTATTATCTAGAAAGCAATGTTTTTTCTCAAAGGTGTCTGTCACTAGAACACATTCCCCCCCTCTCAAAACAAATACAGTAGAAGAACACTGAAACAAAAGAAAAATCACATAGTGTACTTTTGGTCAACATTTATCTTGCTGTAAAAATAGAAGAAAGAGAAGAAGGTAGGTTGGCATCTATTAAATGGTATTACAATTACTGGTTCTGTTTCTTTGTGGAATATGGGGAATCAACAAAGTAAATTTATTCTTTCTGATCCTAAGTTGTCAGGGAGTTATTGAAAGGGAATTGCAGTCCTATTTCTGCAGCAGAACTAATGTGAAAGGAGAATGGTAAATTAAATAAGGTCAAAATGATTTAGCTAGCTGCTTCAGTCTCCTGAATGATCACATGTAAGATGCAAATAAATGTAGGGCTTTGTGCTATTAAATAGAGTTATGGTTTTTATCTTGGAATGGATACTGTGATGTGGCTGAGTAGTCATATTAATAGGATATTTTTGGTCACTCACTTGTCCTTAGATTATCTCAGTTCCAGAGATGGGAATGATTAAGATTGTACCCTACTCATGAGGAATAGAGGAGACAGTGTGTCAAATTGGAATAGAAGAATGAGCAATGAATTCTTTCACCAGCATATCACTGTGTTCCCAAATTTTGATTTACCATTGTATTCTCTTTTTTAAAGGCCACCTATGAAAATAGTAGAGGGCTATTTTGACTCTCATTTAATCTTTGCTGTATCTTCAAAGTTGAGAGGGATATCACATGGCTTGTGATTTCATAGGAGAGGTTTAGGATTTCAGAAGTGCTTGGATAAGGTTGGTCTATACTCTTAACATGGTGTGAGGAGCAGGAAGATAATATTGCCAATGGGGACTCTATTAGTAAGTGTTAATAAATGTTGAAGTACTTTTAAAAGAAATTCCAAAATAGTCTCTAGTCTTTTTTGTGTGTCATTTCTTTTGGAACTATAGGATTCAAAGCTCTGGATTGTAACACTAAATCACCTTGACAAGTCCCTAGAATCATAACTAGGGAAGTACATTGGGTTTGCCTTGGGAAAGAAGGATATAAAAATGGAGGTGTGTTTTTCTTCCTACCCTCCCCATCCCAACAGTGGTGGAAAGTTTCATTTATTCATTCAATAAGCATTTATTAAACAGTGTAGAAACCCCATGTTAGATAACTTTGAGAATAAACCTAAAGGACGGTACGTTGAGTATTTGATTCCAAGTTGGCTTTTTCAATGTTCCCATCACTGATGGAATCCTGAGAACCCTGTTAGCCTAGCACTGACTGTTTCTTTCACTCTTGGATCTCAGATGGTGGGGACACTGAAATCTAGGGGAAGGTTGTCCGGTACCACTTACAATTCCAGTTTCTCTGGTTCTTCGAAATTGTCCTGAATTTCTTTAAAATCATTATTCTTAGTCTTGAAACACTAGGTTATATTCATAACAAATGGTTTTGATCTTAACAGCATCCTTAATTTTCTGAGAGAAATGAACAAAAATTGGTATTCTAAATGCCAGGTCTCCCAGATTTTTATTATTTCAGACAATTGTTGCAGCATGCGAAATTTTTAAAATTACAATTTACTTATTTTGAGTCTTATCTCTTCCTGCATGTTGTTCATGCTCTCCACTGCATTAATCTTCATCTATTTACATTTCAGTCAACCTGTTTATCTGTTGTTAATCCATCTTCTGGCTGATTCCTGTCAATCTCAGCCTACAATAGCTCACTGGGAATATATTACATAAAAGTCATCAAGGGCAGGAGAGAGAGAATGGTATTCTGATTTTGATCTTTACTCAGAATTCTCAATGACTTTCCCTCTGTGATAGCAGCAGATGTTCCCAAAGTTAGTTATTGAAAATGACAGTCTCAGTTTCCCGTTTTTCACTCTTGACTCTCAAAAATGGATACCAGCTACTTAGTATGTCACTGTGTTTTAGCTTCTTAAAGATTCATGTTAAAACTATTCATTGTTTTTCAGACTAAGTGATTGTAGTTTCTTTAACTTTTTCAATGCTGGGTTTGAAATCATTTCCCTTTCTTACACGTCTGAATGCAATCCATCAACCAATGCTGTTGTCTCTGTTTTCAAAATCTGTACTGAATCCAACAGCATTTCCCAATGTTAACTGTTACCGCCTTTGACCACGCCACTGTCATCACTCATTCAGACTCTTGCAGTAGCCTGTTAGCTGGTTTCGGTGCTTTGTTCTTGCCCTGCCGTAGTCAGTTCTCCAAAAGACAAAGTGTTCCTTTAAAACTTAGGTCAGACCAGGCAACTACTGCTCAGAATGTTCTGATTGCTTCCCATTTAATTGAAAATCAGATCCAATCATTGTCTTTTTCTGTGATCTGACTCCCTTTTACCTTTCTGATTTCATCCCTTCTGGTGTCCTCCTCCTTCACTTGCTGTTTTCCAGCTACGTTGGTCTCTTCACCCTTGCAGAATACAGCATTCCCCTCAAGGCCTTTGCATCTGCTGGTCCCACTCCCTGGATTCCTCTTCCTCTCAGTCTTCTTGAGGCTGACTCACTCACTTCTCTCAGGTCTTTGCTCATAAGTCACTTCATGAGTGACACCCTTGCCAAGGCCAGTTATCTCAAGTGGTAACCACTACCCCTCCCCTCCCCCCAGCTTGCTAGGAATGCAATAAATATTTGTTGAATGAGTAAAATAACTATTTTTCATGGAAAGACATTTAATTTCCTGTTCCATCTATGGGAATAGATAAGGAATGCATAAAATGATCCTCAGCAGCAGAAGGCAGGTAAACATGACAACAAAGTGGGAAGAAATCAGACATGGTAAAAATTCCATATCATATATTTAGTTTTCTTAAAGTACAAACAGTAACAGAATAAAAAGTGAATAAGTTGTTTAAAAATGGAAATCTTCCTTGGAACAGCTAATATTTATAATCAGATCATTATTATGCAATTATGTAATGTTACTGGTATAATTTTGTGTTTTCTAAATATTAAATGCTCCTCCCTTTGCAATTAAATTTAAACTATCAATATGCTTGACAAACTGCCTTTTATAATAAAATGTACCTGTGTGTATAGTACTGTATATATATAATTGCATATGCATGTGTTTGCATTATCAATAATGTAGGATTTTTATACTCATAAAAGTTATGATGTATTAGAATTATTTCCTATTGCTAAATGGGAATCTATTGTGATTATTATTATTGGTGTAATATTAATATTGGTAGGTATTAGGCACATATATGCAACCTTGTAGAGGGAATATTTCTTCTGGAATCAGATCTTCTGCATGTTATAACTGTGTAAATTTACTTAACTGTCTGGGCTTCTTGCCTTGTTTTTAAAAAGGACATAATAATACATTACTTATTTAAAGGTAGAAAGGTAGAAATACATGGTACTCTAACATTTGACAGATTGCAAAGAGTCATCATTTTAAAAATCACAATGAGATATTATCACACACCTATGAGCATGGCTAAAATAAGAAGAAAAAAAACTAGATGGTACCAAGTGGGTGAAAATGCAGAGTATCTGGGATTCCCATGCATTGTTGGGAATGCAAAATGGTGCCACCACTTTGAAAGACAGTTGGACAGTTTCTTACAGTGTTAAACATATAATACATATAACCCAGCCATGCCACTTGTGGGTATTTACCTAAGTGATGGAAACTTATGCATAAACCAAAATCTGTACACTAGTGTTTATGGTAGCTTCATGTAGAGTCATCAGAAACTGGAGACAATCCAGGTATCTCTCAACTAGAGAATGAAAAAATAATATCTGGCATATCCATACAATAAAATACTACTCAGCAGTAAAAAGGAACAAATTAGTGATGCATGCACCAACACAGATGAATCCCAAAATACATTACGCTTCCTGAAAGAAGCTGGAGTCAGACTTGGAAGGCTACATACTATATGATTCCATGCAGTAAAGGCAACATTGTAGGAAAAGAATACAGATCAGTGGTTGTGTGGGAGTGGGAAGAGAGACTGACTGTCAAAGGGGCAGCCTGAGGGAGTTTTGAAGTAATAGAATTGTTTTATGTCTTGATTGTGTGGTGGTTACATGGCTGTATGCATTTGCCAAACTCACAGCATTGCACATGAGAGAGTCTATTTTATTGCATGTGAATTAAAAATAAAAATAAATAATTATCTTGATTTTTAAAACCAGTTATACCTCTGATGCCAGGCATTGATGAATCCTAAATGTCCTAGGTGGGTGATCACATCTGCTCTTAGTTCCCCATTTTATTTTACTTTAGTTGCCGTGGTTTCCTGGTGTGGCTTTGTCCTGCTTCAGTTATTATTCATGGCATGATGGACTTTGGCTCTGATGTCAGAGGTAGCAATGGTGGAAAGCTTTCCCACATTCTCCCAGAAGCAGTTTCATATCCTTAGAGGGACCTTGCCAGCTGACTGGTCTAGCTCAGTGGTAGTGGTGCTGACAAAGGCTGGGATCTTGTCCTGCAACTTCGAATTTGTAGATATATCAGCTGCTTTAGTTCCTTTATAAAAACCAAATAGAAATGAATAGGAAACAGAATCAGAGCAGGCTGTTTTTCAAAGAAATTACTCCAGGCTATGCATCTGGGGCCCTTGTTTTCAATATGGTACCTGTCTCAGGGCTCTGACATCAGCAGCTGTGTTCTGGGTCATGAAAAGTTTGCAGACTCCAGCTCCATCAAAAAAACAAAAACAAAAACCAGGTAACTGCTGTATCGCACTGTGTTGTGCCCCAGTGGGCCAGCATATGAGGTAATGTCTCATGGAACAGATGGTTGACCAGTTGTCTTTGGTAAAAAAAAAAAAAAAAATATATATATATATATATATATATGACAAATATAAATACTAATCTAAACATATAATTTATAACTAGAGAACTTTAGGCATTTGGGGGTTCTTGTAAGCTGTACTTACTCTTCTTCTGTTCTCACTTACTGGCTAGTAGATACATTTTATGTTTGTTGAGAATGTGACTAATGTAAAGGTCCTTGAGGTCATGAATCTCTTGTAAAACCAGCCTGTTTCCAGTTTTCTAGACTATTTTGGATCCTCTGTTTTAGGTATATCACCCTGCTTCTATACAGCTGTCTTAAGAGTGCTATAAACCTAGATTGAACAGGAAACCAGCTTCCTACCAGCAGGTTAGAAGTGACTTACAATAAACTAAAATGAGATATTTTTCTCTCTGGCATTATTCTGGAGCAACAGCTCTTGAGTTTCCTATGCTACTATTCTTAGTTTAATTTGCACAGATCATTTTCTCTATATGCATAGTTATGTCAGTGCAGAAATAAAGGAGTGGGAGAGGAATGTAATTGAGTACTCACTCCAGGTTTCAGGAATGTGATAGGCACTTTTCGTGTATTATTCCATTTAACTTCACAACAATGAGTTAGGTAGATAATTTTGCTGCTTTACAAACAAGGAAACTAGGTCCAGGAGAGGTTAATTTACTTATATTCTCAAAGATAGGTTTCTCTCACTCCCAAAACCACTCTATATTCCGAAGGCTCCATTTGGGAATAGTGTTTTTTTTTTTTTTTTTTTTTTTTTTCCCATTTCTTTGTCACTTGCAATGGGGGATGGAGATTGCACTGGTCTTTTGAGATTGAGACCTGGAGCTTCTTCTTAGACCTGGTCTGAGAACCATGTCTGTTCCCTGTTTTACTTTTCAGAGTCCCAAGAGATTTGGCCTAATTTTATGTATTTCTTAAAATCTGCCATTACACACGTTTGATCACTTGGTTCTTTCTCCCCCATGACTGCCTTTAGAGGAAAATTGAGTCCCACAGTTGCGTGGCTCTGAACAGGAAACCCATAAGGCTTTCTTATTTTAATAATTCTACTTCTAATCACCACAGGGAAATAGGAAAGCAAAGAGAAGAAAAAAAAACAAATTAAAAAGATTCAAAATAGTTAAAATCTTAGTCGTTGAGTCGTTGAGCCCAGTTTACATAGTTTCTGAAACTTAGTTCTTATTTCTTAAAAGATACTAAAAGTCTTTTTTTTTTCATAGAGATTACTTTTATTTATCATTGGAACTGTAGTTCAAAGCAGATTCAAGTTGGTACCACTTGTGAAATTTTCCAGTCACTATCCAAGCTCTAAGATTTTTTTTGCGGGGGTGGGGATCGAGTCTTGCTCTGTTGACCAGGCTGGAGTGCAGTGACACAATCTCGGCTCACTGCAAACCTCTGCCTCCTGGGTTCAAGTGATTCTCCTGTCTCAACCTCTTGAGTAGCTGGGATTACAGGCGTGCAGCACCATGCCTGGCTATTTTTTTTTGTATTTTTAGTAGAGACGGGGTTTTGCCATGTTGGTCAGGCTGGTCTTGAACTCCTGACCTCAGGTGATCTGCCTGCTTCAGCCTCCCAAAGTGCTGGGATTACAGGCATGAGCCACCGCGCCCGGCCGCTCTAAGACTTTCATTATGAACCAGTGACGTAAGAAATGTCTAAGAAGTAAAGCTATATGTCATGTTAAAGAGACTGCCACTGGATGGGACTGGGGAATGTATATTAGGCTTAAAGAACTTTTGCCGCCCCGTAATGAAAGCCAGAGCCACGTGTGATCATTGAACATTTGAAATGGGGGTAATTTGAATTGAGATGTGTTGTAGCAGACTATACGTTGGATTCCAAAGACTCAGAATGAAAAAAAAAACCCGAATTTAAAATTTCTGAATAATTTTTATATTGATTACATGTACATTGATTATATTTTAAAATTCTATGTATACTGAGTTAAATAAAATACAGACAGTTCTTGACTTATGATGGTTCTGCTTACAATTTTTTCTCTTAACAATGGTGCAAAAATGGTAACACATCCTTTAGAAATCATACTTCAAATTTTTATATTTTTGCAGGCTAGCATATGTAATGAGTTTCTCTTGCAATGCTGGGCAGTGGCAGTGAGCCACAGCTCCAAGTCAGCTGTGTGACTGCGAGGGTAAACAACCGTGAGATATTCAACGCTTAACTATAAAATAGGCTTTGTGTTAGATGATTTTGCTCCACTGTAGGCCAATGTAAGCATTCGGAGCACATTTAAGGTAGGCTGGGCTAAGCTATGGTGTTTGGCATGTTAGGTATGTTAAATGTATTTTTGACTTACCGTATTTTCAACTTAGGATGGATTTTTCAGGATGTAACCTTATTCTAAATCTAGAGCATCTGTATATTATTAAAATTAAATTTACCTTTTTAACTTTTAATTTTGAGGTAATTACAGAGTCATATGCAGTTGTAAAATATAATACAGAGAAATCTCATATATCCTTTACCCAGTTTTCCCCACTGGTAATATTTTACAAAACAGCAGTACAGTGGCAGAACCATGCAACTGACGTTGATGTAATCCACTGACCTTATTAAGATTTTACCAGTTTTACATGCACTCATTTGTGTGTGTGTGTTTTTAGTTCTATGCAATTTAATCACCTTTGTAAATTCATTATGACACGACCACAGTCAGAAATGGAATTCCATCCCAAGGATCTCTGTGCCACAGCCATCTCCCTTCCTTCTCTCCTCTCTAACCCCTGGGAACCATTAATCTGTTCTTTACCTATATAATTTTGTCATTTCAAGAGTGTTATAGAAATGGAATCACATAGTATGTAACTTTTGAAATGAGGTTTTGTCACTCAGCAAAATTCCCTTGAGATGCATTCAAGTTGTGTTATCAATAGTTATTTCCTTTCTATTGTTGAGTAGTATTTCGTGTTTCTTTTAACCTTTGTAATGATGCCACTAGAAAGCTGAAAATTACATATGTAATTTGCATTTCTGGCTTTCATTGTGTTTCTATTGGACAGCATTGGTTTAAGGGAATGTTTGTTAGAAGTAATTAAAAAGCATATTTCTGTTAAGATTTTCATGGAACTTTAGGTATTCCTGTGTTAAATGGTGTATTTTGTTCTGCTAACTTTAAATCAGGTTATTTGGAAATAAGCAAGGGAGCAGTGGCTTTAAAAAAATCATTTCAAGAGAGTAAAATTATCTGTGTCCCTCCCACATCCCTCCTCCTGCCTTTTTTTTCTTTTTTCTTTTTTTTTTTTTTTTTTTTTTTGGTCAGTTTTTCAGTAAGAAACCCTTTGTATTTCTATCCACAAAAGAAACTTTTCATCAGGTTAGGCAGCAGAGGGGCATCTTGCAACCACTCCCATGGCATTCAGCACACTGGTTTGAGACTAATTAAATGGCTCATATTTATCTGATATTTTCCCTCTTGGGAGCTCCAGAAACTTTTTTCTTTTTCAACTGAAGCTTCAAAAAGAAACCAGCTCAGTTAGCTTATGAAGGAGGGAAGAAACAGGACACAGGGACACTTCAGAGCAGATTAGAACTGAGGTAAAGGAGACTACCATTTTCAATTAAAATTGCCTGGGGAAATTAGGTAGGCAGAGAATAATTACCTGGGTTGGCACACATCCAAGTTTCTGAAACTAAGACCCTGCTTGGATGTTCTGAGGGATCATTGACAAACACAAGTAGCCAAGGACCTTGAAGTTTATGTGTCATCTCAAATGTATTCAAGAGTTCTGGATACAATGGATGGCTATTTTAAGTCAAATTATATAGCATGAGATGTTCTAACAAAACCCTATAAAAACCAATACCCTTGGGAGGCTGAGATGGGTAGATCACAAGGTCAGGAGTTCGAGACCAGCTTAGCCAATATGGTGAAACCCCATCTCTACTAAAAATACAAAAATCACCTGGCATGGTGGTGGGTGCCTGTAGTCCCAGCTACTCGGGAGGCTGAGGCAGGAGAATCACTTGAACCCGGGAGGCGGAGTTTGCAGTGAGCCGAGATCGTGCCACTGCACTCCAGCCTGGGAGACAAAGCGAGACTCTGTCTTAAAAAACCAAAACAAAACCCAAAAACCAATACCCAAAACAAACGATACCACAAAGCATCAGATTAAAGGAGGTTTCTGTGACAAAATAAATATACATTTCTGTGACCTCAGCCATGTAACCAACAGGACACTGGGGCTGAGATTGAACTGTAGGAGAACATGAAGAGGACTGATTAAAGTATAGTTTTAGTCTCTTACCTCCTTAGGCAAGGGGCCCTAGTACATTAACAGTCCTTGGTTAGCATCTTACAAGTACCAAGAAACATCACTGAGTAAATGTCCTAACACAAGGACTTGTCCAACCTAGTCGTGCAAATGAGTCATTGAAAGCAAATCTGCCTTGAATGCAAATGTCAAGATTTAGTATTGTACTCCCCACCCCAGCTCTACCTCCAGTGACCTATTACTATTATACAACTGCTAAGCATGGTTTCTCAGGGTCTGTGCTGCCTGTGGCTGGTGGCACGTGGTGCCGTGCTGCCATTGCTATGGGGGGATAGAATCGATGGAAAAGGTTTTCGGTTATTGAACTATAGATTTTTTCTTTCTCATTACCTAGAGGAGGGCCCACCATCTGCTCCACAATAGGAAAGGGATCCAATCATGTTTCTTACTTGCTTCTAGTGTTAGCTTTTGCTGTGTTTTCATTGTTTCATAATCTCTCAATTTCAAAATGGTGCATAGTGGAAGAGGGTTTAGAAGGAAGAAAAGAGAGAAAAAGGAATCAATTATATTTTTTTCTCTTTCCTCTTTCAAAATAAAACACAGGGGTAGAGGAATACTTGTATTATTTTCTTTTTTAAAGAGATTTTCATAGACTTGCTGAACAAGGCAGCTGCTGGTATATAGGGTATTTTAACGCAAATTACAGAAATGTACCCCTTTCCAGGGCTGCAGGCCTCACTCACCTCTTGGTCATGGACATGAGCCGTATCTGTCTGAGTGCAATGCATGTGTGCTTGGCCACCATCTTGTGCTGTATAATAGATGCAGAAATAGCCCCTATTTTATACTGTGGAAGCACAGATGGATGCACAGACAGTTGCCTTAAGAGGAAGGGTCCCAGGGCCAGTGCATCAGGGGTGAATTCATGCTCCTTTGCTTACCTGTCATATGACTCTGGATAAGTGAGATGACTACTCTGTGCCTCAGTCTGCTCATCTATAAACCATTTCTGTCTCATAGAGTTTGATGAGATATAATGAGTTAATATACATAAAACACTGAGAGTGGTACCTGGACATAGTAATTTCTCATTGATTGGTAGTTATTACTATTTGCTTCTGACAGTTTTGCTGTCTAACCAAACATGTTTCTGAAGGGAGATTTCTTGAGGATTCTCATTTTTTTAAGTCTTATCTAATAAGCCATGTACTAGTGGATATATTAAGCAGGATTTTAATTATATTTAAACTTTTACTTTTTTTTTTTTCTTTTTTTCTGAGACAGGGTCTTGCTCTGTTGCCTAGGCTGGGGTGCAGTGGTACGATCACAGCTCACTGCAGCCTTGACTTCCTCGGTTCAAGTAATCTTCCCACCTCAGCTTCCTAAGTAGCTGGGACTACAGGCATGTGCCACCATTTCTGGCTAATTTTCTGTATTTTGTGTAGAGATGGAGTCTCACTATGTTGACGAGGCTGATCTCAAACTTCTGGGCCTAAGCAGTCCTCCCATCTTGGCATTCCAAAGTGTTGGGATTACAGGCGTGAGCCACCACACTTGACCTGCTTTTACTTTAAATATTAGTGTGGTTATGTATATGCTGCCTCTGTGTAACTTCCCAATAATCAAGTCAGTTGAATGAAAGAGCAGTTTAAATTGGTTAACACCATGTACAAAATATAACCTAATTTAATTAAAACATTTTGGCCCATGTTATTAATTGGATACCCTGTCCTAACAAAGCAAAACAAAGGAAACCCAAATTTTTGGTCCTTCTAGGTACTGAGTGTGTGTTTGCTGCTGCTTTTAAAGAATGTCACTTTTCTAGACATCTAGTTTCATAAGATTTAGTTTAAGGTCAAGAGGAGAAACATCTCTTATAGATTTAGAACTTGGTAGAGTACAGATATTCTTTGCAGTAGATGTGGAAGTCCAAGAACATTTGGGAGAATTGTTAAAAATGTACTGACTGGTTTTATTTAGCCTCTTTGCTGGTCAGTTAGCTTTTCTTGTGACATAGCTGCAGAGTCAAGCCTGAGTTACATAGATGACAAATGCATGCTAAGTTAGGTGTTAACAGGCAGAATTCTAAGGTGGCCCCCCGAGACTACTGCCCCTTGGTTTACATCTCCTGTATGATCCCCAGGACTGTGACTATGACGGGATGTCACTCCTGTGATTAAGTTATGTTACATGGCACAGTTTACTTTAAGAATAAAAGTTTGTCCTTGATGGACCCTAAAAGGGGTTGGAGAGACCGATTCAGAGAGAAAGATTCCATCAGGGGAGATTCTCCATGACTGGCTTTGAAGATGGTGGGGGCCATGTGACAAGGAGTGTTGATGGCCTCTAGGAGCTGAGAGTGGCCCCCAGCCGACAGCCTGAGTGAACTTGTAAGCACATTATTTCTCTGAGCCTCCAGAAAGGATGAAGCCTAGCCAACACCTTGATTTTAGCCTTGTAAGATGCTGAGCAGAAAACCCAGAAACTCCTGGTTAACGTGGTGAAACCCCGTCTCTACTAAAAAATACAAAAAATTAGCCGGGCGTGGTGGCGGGCGCCTGTAGTCCCAGTTACTCGGGAAGCTGAGGCAGGAGAATGGCGTGAACCCGGGAGGCGAAGCTTGCAGTGAGTCGAGATCGAGCCACTGAACTCCAGCCTGGGTGACAGAGCAAGACTCTGTCTCAAAAAAAAAAAAAAAAAAAAAAAGAATGAAAAAGAAAACCCAGAAACGATGTCTGGACTCCTGACCTACAGAGCTATGAGCTAATGAATGTGTGTTGCTTCAAGTCACTACGTTTGTGGCAATTTGTTATGCAGCTGTAGAAAACTAATACACGAAGGAAACCAGGCAAAAGAATGTAGGTTAGCAATTGCAAAGCCATTACCATTATTTAGAGAAAAATAACACCCATAAAAAACTTGTAATGAACTCCTCTAAAGAGCCCTGTTTTGCATTGTAGAGCCAGTTGGCCACAGTAAATGACAGATAGAGGTAAGTTTTCTGGGCAGAGTTTAGATGCTTTCTCGGGAGGGGAAATGAATGGCTAAAGTAGCTCTTTTTCTTGGTGTTTACTGCATGACGGCAAAGAAAAAATACAGAATAGGAAGTTGGAATCCCCTCCCTTCCATGCTTATACATGTTGCTGATGAGGGCTTTCATTTAGGGATCACTCACTTGGGTCGGTGAGAGGAGAACATAGGTGACGGAGTTGGCTGGGTGGAAGTGCTCTGGAGGGCGGGGGCTGTGGGGATCTGAAAACCCAAGCTTTCTCTGAGGGGACAGATGCCTCTCAGCTGTGGCTGAGTTGTCTGCAGCATTCTGTTGCCACATCATCCAAATTTCTAAGAGAAGCTGGGAGTCTGTATATTTATGTGTAGTCTCTCATTTTTTAATGTTAATAACCGGCTCAAACTCTAAAAGATCACCATGGATTCATATAAACATATATGTGGCCAGATCAGGCCCATGGGCAGCCTCTCTGTGAATGCAGCCTAGAGAATTAGTATATGGGGGCAGTTCCAGAGACTGAGAGAATTGGAGGGGGTGAGTGCCATGAGTTCTAGAAGTTTTGTCTGTTTTTTTCACTGCCATATACTCAAACTGAGAACAGCATCTGGCACACAGTAGGTGCTCAATAAATATTGTAGCACGAACTTGAGGAAACATAAACATATTAATACCTTACATGGATATAGAAAATATGACTGCATTGGTGAAACTTGTTTCTAAGATTTGATTACTTTTAATGTCTAGGCATGGTATGATTTGGGCTAACACAGTGTCCTTTTGGCCCACCCACTTTCTTTTTTTAACCTGCGATTCATTCGAGGGCTTTTATGGAAGTCATTAGGTGCTACAGAACAAAGCAGGCATTGATCCCTTCTGTGTTGCTTGGGTGCCTTGCTCCTCTTATCTCGTCTCACTCTGACCCTGACTTCTAAGATGAGTCCTAACACCGCCTGCATTTTACAGATAGGAGCTGGTTTCAGAGAGGTGAAGACAGTTGCTTGAAACTGCATAGCTGGTCAATGATGGTGCTCAGCTCTTCTGACTGCCAGGTCTTTGCCCTTCATCTCTGTGCTTGATACTCAGCATGCATTGGAACCAGTCATGTCAGCATCACCTGAGAGCTTGAGCTTCACACATGCTGAATCTCAGGCCCTGCCTCAGACCTACAGTCAAACAGAATGTGCATTTTAACCAGATATGCTGGTGATTTGTATGTTAAAGTTTGAGAAGCATTGTCCTACCCCACTAGGTTCTAAACTTGGGTTATTCCTGAATCACTTTTATGGATTTGGCCAAATCTGAGTTTTACCTGAACTTATGACTCATCTTTTCCACTTAAATGTATTTGCTTAAAAAGAAAATACAACCATGATAATGATGGTAATGTGGTAACATTACTATTATAAGTAGCTGTAAATAATTATAGTTATGTACCCAATAGAAGTTATGTACCCATTCAATAGAAGAATGATTCCATTTTCTATAAATAGAAGGTAAGTGCTAATGCCCATGCATTCTACATTACCTCTCCATGTACCATTGTAAAATATCTGTATTTTAAGATGGTACATGGAAACTGTACCATTAATAATAAAGTGTAATAAACCATAAAATATCTCTTCATGGACCATTAGTGGGAGAGTGTTCCGCTTTGGGAAATAATGCTATGGTCGATTGTAAAAACGTCCACAAGGTCTTCCCCACTGTACATTCATGGCTTTGCAGTGTGCAGTGCCCCATCAAGAGGTGGGACCATTTCTCTATCTTTTGAATGTGGGCTTGACCATGTAACTAGTTTTGCCAAATGATATATTAGCCAATGCGATACAACAGAGGCTTGGAAAGTGCTTGTGCTTTGGGGCCTGCCTTCTTGCTTCTCTTGCAAACTAGAGAACACCAAAATAAGTGGTTATTGATTTAAGCTACAAAAGTTTGAAGTCTTTGTTGTACTGCACAATCTCACTGACACAACTGCTTTCCAACATTCTGTTTGCTTGCAAAACAATCATTTCCATGTTCAGTATTAAGTCAGAGTAAAATGATCTGTTTTTGTTCAACCTTGCCCAGTTACTCTTCACTTTAAAACAAAATCTGAATATTGAATATCTTGGGGGAGGACATCACATGCTAGTCTTTTTGTGTTCAGTACATATATAGATTCACTAAAACAGGCATGGCAATGTCACCTTTAAATATTTGTAGGTTTCTTCCTCCTCTGAGAAATAAAAGCTTCACCCTTGGCTAAAGTTCCCCATTGCTTTGAAATAAGACTATGTAAAACACTGTGGCATGATTAGTGGTGGTTTACAGTAAAATATTGGTGTTTTCTTATGGCTTGAAGGCAGTTCCATATGTATGCTTTTCTTTTGTCAGGGTAAAATAAAATTGGATGTTTTCCATCACAAGGAATCCCCTGAAGAATCACAATAAGACTTTTTAATATATATAAATTTTATCACTTACTGTGTTTTCTTGAAGAATGTGAGTGTTTTCTCATTTTTGGAAAAAGCTGACTGGCAAACTCACTATGTGTATTATAGCCTTTTTTTAAAAGACTGCTTTCATGAAGTATAATTTACATATCATAAAATGCACTCACTTAAAATGTACAATTCAGTGGTTTTTAGTATTAATATATTCGTGGCATTGTGCAACTATCAACACAATCTAACCTTTGAATCTTCATTACCCCAAAAAGAAATCCCATGCTGCTCCTCTAGTCATAGAGAGCCACTAGTCAGCTTTCTGTTTCTGTGGATTTGCCTGTAGTGGACATTTCATATACATGGGAACATACCATATGTGGTCTTTGTGCTTGGCTTCTCTCCGTTAGCATACTTTTTTTTTTTTTTTTTTTTTTTTTTTTTTAGACAAAGTCTCACTCTATCACCCAGGCTGGAGGGCAGTGGTGCAGTGCAATCTCGGCTCACTACAAACTCTATCTCCCAGGTTCAAGCAGTTCTCTTGCCTCAGCCTCCCAAGTAGGTGGGATCACAGGTGTGTGCCACCACACCCAGCTAATTTTTGTACTTTTAGTAGAGACAGGATTTCACTATGTTGGCTAGGCTGGTCTTGAACTCCTGACCTTAGGTGATCCACCCACCCTGGCCTCCCAAACTGTTGGGATTACAGGCGTGAGCCAACATGCCCAGCCAGCGTAATGTTTCTTTGAAGTTAATTCACGTAGTCATGTGTATCTGTGTTGCATTTTTGAATTGCTGGATAATATTCTATTATGTGAACGTACTACACGTTTTGTTAATATGTTTATCAGTTGATGGACATTGGGATTGTTTACAATTGGGCTATTATGAATAATGCTGCTATGAAATTTTACATGTAATTTTTATATGGATATATGTTTTCATTTTTTCTTGGGTTCATATCTAGGAGTGGAATTACTGGGTAATACAGTTACTTCATTTTTAACCATTTGAGCAACTGCTAGACTGTTTTCCAAAGCAGCAGCATCATTTTACATTTCCACCAGCAGTGTATGAAGTTTCCAATTTCTCTAAATTCTTGTCAACACTTGTTATGTCTTTTGATTATAGCTTTTCTAGTGGCTATGAAGCAGTATCTCATTGTGGCTTTGATTTATATTTCCCTAATGGTTAAGTATCTTTTCATGGTTGTATATCTTTTTTGGGAAATGTCTATTCAGGTCATTTGCCCATTTTTAAATTGGGTTATTTGTCTTTTTCCTGTCCAGTTCTAAGAGTTCTTACATCCTGGATAAAAGTTCTTTATCAGATTTCCTGTTCTGTGGGTTCTCTTTTCACTTTTTTGACGGTGTACTTTGAAGGACAAAAGTTTTTAAAGAGGTTCGACTTATCTTCTTTTTTCTTTTGTTCTTCATGCTTTTGGTGTCACACCTAAGAAACCATTGTTCTGGTCACAAGGATGGTGCCACCCAAGATCACAAAGATTTACTCCTATGTTATATTTACTTTTAAGAATTTTATAGTTTTACTTCTGTGATTCACTTGGAGCTAATTTTTGTCCATGTTGTGAGGTAGGAGCCTATCTTCATTCGTTTGCGTGTGAGATACCATATGTGGTCTTTGTGCCAGTTGTCCTGGCACCGTGTGTTGAATAGACTGTCTCTCCCCATTGAATGGTCTTGATACCTTTGTTGAATGAAACAGCTTTTGTTTGCATTAACACTGATACAACTCTGGGATTTGCAATTTTGTTTACCTATTATGGGAAAATATCTTTCTTCTTTGAAAGATCAAAACACGTGGGAAGACATACATAAACACCCCAGACACACACACACACACACACACACACACACACAGCCTCTGTCTCTCACACACACACTCATGCACACAGTCCCTTCTTTACCAAAGCCCCATGTAATCCCTTCATGACCCAGAATAATAGTATTTGAAAGGAAAAGTTGGTATGCTGGAGTCTTCATTCACATATTACTACAACTCCAAGTCAGTTGCAATAGTTTGGCTATGATATGCCAGTAGCTAAATAGTTCATGACAAATTGCTTATACTGCTTAACTTCTTTGTAGTTAAGTATTTCAACATTGCCTTCCCCACATGTTGCAATATCTTATATATGCCCAGAATTAGAAAGGTTTATGGAACAATGAGGCAGTTTATGTTAGATAGTTGCTAGGGAATTAAAGAAGAGAAGGGAAAACATGTGTCCAGTCTCTAAGTCTTTGATTACGAAATGACTTGGGCAGCAAGTGGTTTCTCAAAACGAGGAGCATGGTATGGCAGGATCATTAATCAATGAGCTTTTTGGGAACTCGGCCTGTTTCATAGCCTCAGGAGACATAAAAGAGTCATATAGTTTAACATTCCAGCTGTAGGTAGGCCACCTAATTATTCAGCATTCAACAAAGATTTATTGAGCATCTACTCTGTGCCAGGCGTTATGGTAGGTATTGGGGAAATACCTAGTGGTTTTCAATAACACATAATCCCTGTCTTCATGGGAGTCGTATCTTCATTATTAATACATAATTACAAATATAAATGTAAGATTGAAAATCTGGTAAATGTCATGGAAGAAGTGGCACTGTAGGGGTTAAACATGGGCGAGGGTGCCTGGGTTTGAATGCCAGTTTTGTGGGATTCTTGAATATTCAACTTCTTCATTCCCTTTTCTATAAAATGAGAGTACATACATTTTTGAGTTTTTATGTGGATTATAAATGATGATTCAATCCATGCTTAGAGCCAGCCTGCATCATAGTAAATAGTCACTAAATTAGTAAAGTCAGGGTACATGATGCTGTGTATTCCCTAATTCTGTATATTTGAAGTGGGATGTTGCTTTCTGTAGAGACTTTGGAGTGAATTGGCTTTTTTTCCATTTTAATTATAAAAATTATTTGCTTCATGGTAAAATATTACATAATGGTTAAATGTTAGGTTAAAATCAAAGACCTTACCCTTTAAAAATCTCCTTTTAGTACTGGTCCCCTAGAGGGAGCTAGAGGTAGCCACACTCAGTGTTTCTTGTTTTCCCTCCAGATGCGTTATTTGTGTATAACGATATATATGTCTGTGTATTTACATATAGATTAGTGAGGTTTGTCTTAACACAATGGAGCCATAGTATCCATATTACTACACTACTTCAGACTTTTTAAATTAATAAAATGACCTGAGAATTTGTTTCTATGTCTTTTCATATAGGTACAGATTTCCTCTCTTGTTTTTCATGGTGTAGTCTTGTATTATATGAATGTACCAACCTACCTGAGACCTTATTAAAGGACTGTGCTGTAGTCATCTCTATACATAGATCGTGACCTTCACAAATTTCAATTCAAACTTTATAGACACAGTTTTCCCAGGTGTCATCAGTTGCCTCTGCCTTCTTACCATATGGAAATGGGCTTCCCCTTACTTTTGTGTACTTCTTTTTTTTTTTGAGATGGAGTTTTTGTTTGTTTGTTTGTTTGTTTTTGTGAGATGGAGTCTCTCTCTGTCACCCAGGCTGGAGTGCAGTGGTGCCATCTCGGCTTGCTGCAAGCTTCGCCTCCCAGGTTCACGCCATTTTCCTGCCTCAGCCTCCCGAGTAGCTGGGACTACAGGCGCCTGCCACCATGCCCGGCTAATTTTTTGTATTTTTAGTAGAGACGGGGTTTCACCATGTTAGCCAGGATGGTCTTGATCTCCTGACCTCGTGATCCGCCCGCCTCGGCCTCCCAAAGTGCTGGGATTACAGGCGTGAGCCACTGCGCCCGGCCTGAGATGGAGTTTTACTCCGTTGCCCAGGCTGGAGTGCAGTGGCATGATCTTTGCTCACTGCAACCTCTGCCTCCTGGATTCAAGTGATTCTCTTGCCTCAGCCTCCTGAGTAGCTAGGATTACAGGCACGCACCACCACACTTGGCTAATTTTTGTATTTTTTTGTAGATATGGGGCTTCACCATGTTGGCCAGGCTGGCCTTGAACTCCACTCCTGAGGCAAGTGATCTGCTTGCCTTGGCCTCCCAAAGTGTTGGGATTATAGGTGTGAGCCACTGCACCCGGCCACTTTTGTGTACTTCTGACACCACCTGGAACTTTTCCTCCCACTCCACCTTGAAAAGATCCTGAAATCTAGATTTCAGCCAAATCAGAAATCCAATGTCAAATCCAGAATCAACATAAACAACTTAATAACAAAGACAATACGGAAACAGCCATAAAAAAAGACTCTCTTTGCAAATAGATGTAATTCTGTTATAAAAAGAGTTTTTTCCAATTACAGTTCATCTAAGGACATTATACTGCTAATCAGGAAAAGATAATTATATTTACTTTGAGAAGGTTTTAGATAGCCTTGTTGTTCTATTGCTGCTTAATTATTTTAATAGATTAAGAGGGTGAGTAGGATATTAGCAGCATTGTAGAGAGAGTGTATAAACTCTGTTGGCTGAGTATAGCAGTAATAATTCTGATATGATGACTGTGTGTCTGTGTCATTTGTTTGCAACTTATGCCACTAATTTTTTTTTGTTTTTCTGACGTTTTTAAATTTACATTAGATTCTGATTTTGAAGTGCAAAGGACTGTTTTTCTCCATGAAAACTCTAAAAGTCCTTTACATCGATTTGTCTTGTCTGTGTCTGTTTCAGAGGACAGTGCTGCTGTGAGTTTGACGAAGTGGACATCACCTGCAGTCAGTCCAGAGCTGCCCAGTGAGTACTTTACCGCCTGTGTGGAGAGTCTTTGGTTGTAGGTTTCTAGAACTTTCAGTCTGTAAGATGAATCCCTTCATTCTGGCTGATGCTGCTTCTGAAATGCCTCTCAAAACTGATTCACAGACATCTTCCTTGATGCGGCAGAGCATTAAGCAGGATCTCCCAGCACTTTCTAGGTTCAATTTTATTAATTTCACTACTAACCTTGGGCACTTTACCCTTTGCTAGATTTTCTACTTGCTCTCTGCAATAGTGTTGCCCGCATTTAGTAAGCATCACATGTTTTTGAAGTGATCATTGTCTACAATTCTTTCTGGGGAGAAATGTTTCTGTGACTTGTTTTCAGTCCTGTGCAGATTTTGCTTAAGAAGATTCCCACTGATGTGAAAAATCACAACTGTGTACATTATCAGCAAAAATCCTCCATTTTGGGGGAACTACCAGGGGATGATGTAAATAAATTCTTCCAGTGCTCCCCTAATGGTTCATTTTACAAACTTTTAAAGAAACGCAAAAAGGGGAACTGGAAATATCTTTATATGGCTGATTTGTTTTATTTATAAACTGTAACTTGCCAATACTTGTATTCCAGAGCCAGAATCCTAGTGAATATGAGACATGTTCTTTTATAATCCCTTGATCAAATTGCTGTTTGTTTATTTATTTATTTTTGAGACGGAATTCTCGCTCTGTCACCCAGGCTGGAGTGCAGTGGCGCAATCTCGGCTCACTGCAACCTCTGCCTCCTGGGTTCAAGCGATTCTCCTGCCTCCACTTCCTGAGTAGCATTACAGGTGCATGCCACCACGCCTGGCTAATTTTTGCATTTTTAGCAGAGACGGAGTTTCACCATGTTAGTCAGGCTGGTCTCAAACTCCTGACTTCGTGATCTGCCCACCTCGGCCTCCCAAAGTGCTGGAATTACAGGTATGAACCACCGAACCTGGCTCAAATTGCTATTTTTAAATTGCTGTTACAAGTAAAGCATTTGGACTATGTATCATTTCTTACCTTCAGGAACAAGAGGTCATTTTATAGTAATGGCGTGAACCAGCAACTTTATTGTTTCTCCTAATAGGTCCTCCTGGAGGATCTGTTCCTCTGGGCTGTTGGCATTTAATGGCTGAGTGTTTTCCTCCAGCGTTTTGCATATCATGTGAGATACTTCATTATCTTCTGGCAGTGCCCGTGGCTGATTTTCTTCCGGCCTTTCCATGAGGGGAAGGAAGAATCGCACAACCTGACACTTCTCTAAGTGATCAGTGTTTAATGATGACAAGAGATATCCAGAAAGTAGATTTATTATTGAATGTTCCTATCTATTTTTAGTCAAGTGCGCTATCTTTTACTACTCCCCAAGGATGACTCATAAACCATGTCTTAGTAGGCAAAGAGGAGTTGGGGAGTAGGAGGGACTGAATAATTCTCTCGGGACTTTAAATCAGTGTGGACACATCATCTGCTTTTCACTCCTTCATCACATTAATCTGGACTATCCACTTTCTCTGTTTAAGAGTTGTATTATCCTTAAATAGGTCATTTTTCATCAGCTGTATTTATAAATGGTTCCTATGACGAGTTATGTGCTTATTGAATATAAACACTTGATTCAAGAGTCCAAAAAAAGAACCCCAGCAGAGCTCAGAAGTTTTGTTAAATATTTTAAGTTCAAAGAAGAAATTCCTCTACATTAAGGAGTGTAAATGCCATGCATTTAATTTTACAAAGCCTTGGCTGGGCGCGGTGGCTCACGCCTGCAATCCCAGCACTTTGGGAGGCCGAGGCGGGTGGATCACAAGGTCAGGAGATTGACACCATCCTGGCTAACACAGTGAAACCCCGTCTCTACTAAAAATACGAAAAATTAGCCAGGCATGGTGGTGGGCGCCTGTAGTCCCAGCTACTCAGGAAGCTGAGGCAGGAGAATGGCATGAACCCAGGAGGCGGAGCTTGCAGTGAGCCGAGATGGCGCCACTGCACTCCAGCCTGGGCAACAGAGGGAGACTCCGAAAAAAAAAACTTTTACAGAGGCTTTGGATGGCTCCAGATCCTGGGGCTGAAACAGTACATGGGCAGTGTACTCTCGTTCTCACCCAATAGGACCTGATTAGACTTGGAGCCCCAGATGTCACCTGGTGGTTGGTTGCTTATGTTACGCTTGCCTTTCTTCCAGAGAATCCTTCCATATGTCCCTCCATCCTCTCCTAAAAATAAAACCATTTGGCCTCTACTCTAGCATCATTCACTTGCTACATATCTTGAATTGTGAGTTGTTTTTAAAACACTGAACTAAAATCTGATTCTTCTATAATATCTTCCCATACTCAAAATTGGAAACATCTAAACTCTGGAACCTGAGCATTTCTGGTTTTGTCTTGAAATGCCTGCTTTACTTCCCCACACTTCCAACGGTGAGCAGCTCTGACTCTATGTTAGTTCTAAATGTATTTTTTAAGGCCTATTTATATGCAGAGTAGGCATTCAGAATATGTTCTTATTTCTATAAAGGCAAAAGGTATATTTTGAATCTTGCTTATATGTCACGTTCAATTTAGCTTTTTTTTTTAAACAAAACAAAACAGTGTTGGTCAATAAACTCCTAAAATAGAAAATATTTATTTAGAGAACAAAATGACTGTTTTTGGATGAATTATCCTCACCCTTGCATTAAGTGACCTTTGCATTGGGAGCTTTAGATTGGCTCTTGCTGAAGAGGAATGCCTTAGTTTAGTCCAATCAAAAACTGCTTTCAAGTTTCAGGAAAAGAAAGTAAACAACCCTTGATAACTTCTCTCCTGTGGCATTTTAGTTTGGAAGATACACTGTTCTTCTGAAAAACCTATCTAATGTTGGGGGTGCTTTCTTCCTTTTAAATTGTTTTAATTAAATATTCATTATAGACCGGGCACGGTGGCTCATGCCACCCAGCATTTTGGGAGGCCGAGGCATGCGGATCACCTGAAGTCAGGAGTTCAAGACCAGCCTGGCCAACATGGTCAAACCCTGTCTCTACTAAAAATACAAAAAAAAGTTAGCTGGGCATGGTGGCACATGCCTGTAATCCCAGCGATTCGAGAGGCTGAGACAGGAGAATTGCTTCAACCCAGGAGGCGGAGGTTTGCAGTGAGCCGAGACTGAGCCACTGTACCCCAGCCTGGGTGACAGACGAGACTCCATCTCAAAAAATGTTTGTATTAATTATATACAGAATTTATAACATTAGTGTTAGGCATGCAGCTCACCAAACTTAATGTTGACTTTTCTTTCATTTTGCCTCTACTTTAGAGCCTTACTCATTGTCCTGTCTTCTCTTACACCTTGGAGACATAGATATGTTGTACCAGCTATTAGCATATTTTTTTCTTGATCTAAGATCTGTGGCCTAGGGTTGCTGCAGTGCTCTATAGGAATGAGGATCCTTCTTATTACCCTGTAAATACTTTAGTTATTTCAAACTCTTGAGTGTTACAGAAGCTCTTATCCATGGTACAACAATAGCAAGCACAAAAACCTGTGGTTTCTTTCACATTTTCTTAGAGCACATTCATGCATGCCAAGAGTCGTGAGATGAGCTCTCCAGAAGCAGACTGAGAAGAGGATTTCTGCACAAGTGGTTTATCAAGGCAGGGCTCCCAGGAGAAACTAGTGAGTGGGGGAAGGGAAGGGAAAGGGAAGAAGCCAAGCAGGGAGATGATTCAAGCAATGTGCCTGCCCCAGCCTGATCCTGGGGGCAGAGTTGGGGGGTGCAGTGGGCCGCTCTGGAACATAATTGCTCCCTAGAGTCTGTTCCACATCAAGGCAATGGAGCTGGGCTTTTCCACTCCTGCATCAGTCACTGACTGTGGGCAGGTAAGAGAGGGCTATAAACTTCCAAGCACCTCTGCTGTCTTCATCTGCATGTGAAGCAGCTTCGGTGGTTGAAGAAGGTTTTTCTTAAGAAATGTTGGTACCATCCCTTAGCAGCAAAGCACACAAAAGCCGGGAAAGGGCACACAAGACGATTAAAGGGACCCAGTGTTATCTGGGCAGGACACTAGAGTGTCTGCTTTACCAATCCACATTCCATCTTCCTCCTTGCCTCACTCCTGCGGGCACATTTTTAATCCTTAGCCCATTTCCTGGTGTAGGTTAAGCACTTTCAGAGGCTGCATAGGATTATTTTTCCTCCTCTGAGAATGGAGTCAGCTACTGGTTCAAAGAGCTAAGTCCTAAAGTAATTGCAGTGTTGGGAGACACCTAGGTAATTTTCAGTGAGTAGAATTTCTACATATATTAGAGTTTTAGAAATAGAAAACTTGACATTTCAAAGCTTTCCTTAGTAAAATCATGGATAATGATTTCAGTGCCCTGAAAGAAGAGGTGAGGATGTCATGTGATTGTATGATTGGAGATTATTCTTACTAGGAACATTTCCAGGCACACAGGTTAACTTCATTATTCTTCATTCTCATCTCTTTTAGCCATCCTTTATTTTATTTCCTAATAGTTCACCTTTGCCTTTGGAAGTATTTTCTTTTCATAAGCTTTTAAGGGAAATATATAGTGTTTCTTGGGCACCTTCTATTTATTTATTTTATTTTGTTTTATTTTATTTTATTTTATTTTATTTTATTTTATTTTATTTTATTTTATTTTATTTTATTTTATTTTATTTTGACAGGGTCTGGTTCTGTTGCCTAGGCTGGAGTGCAGTGGCTTGACATAGCTCACTGCACCCTGGAACTCCTGGGCTCAAGTTATCCTCCTGCCTCAACCTCCTAAGAGGCTGGGACTACAAGTATGCACTACCATACCTGGCTAATTTGTAAAATTTTTTTTGTAGAGATGGGGTCTAGCTATGTTGACGAGGCTGGTTTGGAGTTCCTGACCTCAAGTGATCCTTCCAACTTAGCCTTTCAAAGCGCCAGGATGACAGGCATGAGCTACTGTGCCCAGCCCTCTTGGGTGCCTTCGATTCAGTACAGCACAAAATTTCATGATTGTTCACCTGATGTCCTAGACCAGCCAACACTGTCCAATAGAAATATTACGTGAACAACATAGAACATTTTGAATTTTCTTGTAGCTTCATTAAGACAGCGAAAAGAAAGAGGTTACAGCAGCCTAAACTGGAGGCTGGAATGTCCAAAATCACAGGTGAAATTAATTTTAGTTACATATTTAACTTAGCATATCCAAATAATTATTTCAACATTTAATCAATGTAAACATTATGGAGGTTTTACCTTTTTTTGTCCACTGAATATTTTGTACTTAAAACGGCTTTCAAGACTAGCCATATTTCAGTGCTCAAAAGCAACATTTGGCTCGTGGTACCATATTGGCCAGTGCAACTTTAGAATATTATAGAGAAACTCTGGTAAAAGGCCTTATTCTGTTTGAATAAGACTCTTAGTCAGTGCTTCTGAATCTCCCAGCTTGGTAACACTACTCAGTAAGGAAATGAGGCAGCACCGTGGTCCAGAGAGAGTGAGCTGATCTGTCCTTGAGGTGCTATTGCTACTTCCATTTTTGGATTTAGTGCCCTGTTGTACATGAATTAGGATTAAAACATTTAGGTTTGGCAGCTCAGATGTCACTGATAACCTTCAAAGGTCACTTAGAAGATAGTGGGCCTTGAATGGAGGGTAGAAAGTAGAAAAATTTTAAAGAGGAAAGGGAGGGAATTTCAATGGGAAAAAAATCTATATATGTATATCGTGTGTTTTGGGGGAGGATTCTAGAAAAGTTTGGGTATAATACTTTTATGCAAACTCATGGGGCTGGAGTGTTACATATACAATGAGAAAGGTATAGTTAGTGGCCAAACTGATACCAGACTCAAAGAGTCGAATTTTGCAGTACATGAAATGAGATATCACCATGATATAGTATATACGTTGGGACCTATTCTGGTTATTTATTGTTGTGTAAGAAGTCACTTGAAGATATAGTGGCTGCAAACAACAGCAGTCACCTTTTTACCTCTCAGTTTTTCTGTGGTCAGGAGTTAGGGAAGGGCCCGGCTGTGCATTTCTGGCTTGAGTTCTTTCATGCAGTTGCAGTCAGGTGGCAGCTGACGCTGGAAGAGCAGGCAGCTGGTATGGCTCAGCGTTTCTTCCTCCTCACCCAGTCTCATGTGGTCTTTTCTATGTGGTCTCTCTTCATGGGCAGCTTTATTCTCATAGCATGGCAGCTTCAGAGCAGGGGGACAGCCTGCCTGGGCTTCAGTGTGATTATTCTGTCCAACCAGGTGGAAGCAGCATTGCTTTATGACTTGGCCTTGGAAGTCATGCATGGTCACGTCTATCACATTACAGTAGTCCTCTCTTATCTGTAGGGGTTACGTCCCAAGACCCGCAGTAGATGCTTGAAACTGTGTTAAGTACTGAATTTTATATATGTTACATTTCTTCTATCTGATAATCAAGATAACTACTAGTGGCCAATGAGTGGGTAGCTAGAGTGTACAGCATGGATAAGCTAGACAAAAGGATGCTTCTGGATGTGAGAGATTGCATTGTGTTCCTCAGAATGGGATACAATTTAAAGCTTATGAATTATCTCGGGAATTTTCCATTTCGTACTTTTGGACTGTGGTTGACCTTGGGTACCTGAAATCATGGAAAGCAAAATGGCGTCTGCCCAGTTTCAAAGGGAAGAGACTTATGAGTTCAACTCTCAGAGACAGGAGTGTTGAAGTCACAATGTGCGAAGATAATATTGCAACTATTTTTGGGCAATATCATCTGCCTCAGGGACCCTCTCCATTGCCACTCCTGTACCCATCTTGCTCTCTTGAGCTGTGCTCTGGGAGCGCTGTGGTATGAGCACAGCTTTCATTCCCGGGCACCCTTCTATACAGTGGCTCTCTCTTCTCTCCTTACCCAGTAAGCTGGACTGGACAGTCCTTAACAAAATGTGAAGTCTTCTGCTTAGGCACTAAATGGCCAACCCTGGCCCTCTGTTTATTTTTCATTATCTTCCTTCTTTATTGTTAGAGGCCTTCCCAAGCAGTGGGCAAACACCAACCCCAGCTGTTCTCCTCTCATTTTTTAATTTGTGGAGCAATTGAGAGAGAGGAGAGAGAAAGAGCAAAAACAAAAAGGAGGAAGAATTTTCTAACCCCTTACTGGTCTTACTGAAAAGACTTGTCTTACCTTTTCCACCTAAGGATGTCATCTCCAGAAGACAGAATTCTTCGGTTTGGCCAACTGCCAGGTTTTTCTCACCATCTTTCCATTTCTAGGTTGATTCTCCTTTGCTCTGTCTCTTGCTGTCCCTGGCCAACTGGGTTTCTCTTCCCAAGGTGATTAGAAGGAAAGGGGAAAAGCATGGGGCCAACACCATGACCTTTGAGAGAGAACTTTCCTAACAGTTGCTAAGCTCAACATTCTACCAAATACTGTTCGCCCTGGTTTTCATAGGAAAATCCCTCTCCTTTGCCACAATCTCATCTTTACCTCAACATGGGCTCTGAAACTAGGTGCATAGTGAGCATTGACTTGCTTTCTTTTCCCTCCTTTCTTTTGTGAAGTCATACTTTCAACTGGAAAAGATTGAAATGCCAGCTGTGTAAGAGTTTAGGTGAAGCATGCTGAGTTCTGCAACTTATTTACTATGAAATGGATTAAAAAATGCTGATGGATGGATAGACCGATGAATGAAGGGCTAGATATTCAAAAAAGCTAGTAGCATAAAGTGTTCATTGTAGAATCTAGCTGGTAAGTATATGGGTATACTACCCATATATATCACATAGTATATACTTACGCTGTATAAATATACATAATATTAATTTTTTTCAACTTTGTAAAAGAAAAAGTTAGAGAAGAGAAGCATTAACCATAAATTATAGTAGTGGGATACATTTGAAAACAAAATGTTCATTTCCTACTTAACAAATGCTTAAGGCTTGTCTTGGTTTTCAGGTGAACTTTTTAAAAGGTTGTATTAGCATTGTTAATTGTTCTACCTTCAGTTTACCTTCAAGGTTTAAGGGACCTGGAAAAGATGTAACAGTCGAGTCTAGAAAAATAGTCTAAAATTCTAGCCGTTGCCCTTAGATTTTGTAGTTTCTTTGAGCTTGTCACATATTGCTTGTGAGTATGCTATTGAAGTCATTGTATTACGGTTGTTTTTCTGTGTCATTTCCTGAGGGCCTTTGTGGTGGCAATAGTAAGAACTTATTCCAAAGATAGGATTTCTTGTTTCCTCACCTGTTCCACACACTCCCATGTTAAATTGGGCATTCTGAATCTTTTCCAGAACTGAAATATGGATTTTTTCCCCTGCATTGGGCATGTTTGCTTTGTTTTATCTGCTTCTATAAGAGAGAGGGAACAATATAAATCCAGTTCAGCTCCCTGGATTATTTTTTGATATATCAATAAAATGTTTAAAGTTATTGGAAATTGTTGCATTTGAAAAGTTCTTAACTATTTTACTTTTCTGAAATGAAAAGAAGAGCAGGCATCTTGTCTTTGCTGTCCTCAGGTGGGAAAGGGCAGCTTGCTGAGGACTGAAGACTAAAATAAACCCTCCCAGGAGAGGAACCGGCCGGTGACCTTGGCTGCAACCACCTTGCAGATCAGCTGCTTCATTCCTTTCCATATTTTGTGGCCTGTGGGGGGAATCAAGTGTCACAAAAGCAGGAAGAGAGCAGTTTGAGGAAGACTCCAGAGGCACTGCTGGTAAAAGTGCTGACGTGATCTCCTGACCCTTTCCGTATGGCTGGAGGACTGGTGGTTTTATAGTGACCATTCAGGTAGCTGGGAGGAGGCAATCCTCCTGTGAAAAATAAGCTGTAAGAAACTGTTGCAACAGTTGTGTTTTTTTATACTCCTCATGTAATAATAAAGCGGTCTAGAATTTGGATAGATGCCGTTACATTTTTGCATTGGAGGTATGTTAAAGAGCCCATACTGAGCTAATAGAAAAATAGAAGTTAACTCACTCTTCTGAGCAAGTAGAAGTTTATTGAAAAACTGAATGATTTTGGTGATTTTTAAATTTGTCACCTGGCTGGATACATCACAGTGTGGTGGGAAGAATGTGAGCTCTGAAACCTGGGACCTGGGTTGTCCCATCTGTAAAATGAGCACAGTATTACCTTTTTCATTGGTTTTGGAAGTATTGACAGGGAGATGGTGAATCTATAGGACTTTTCTTATTGCAGATACTGAGAATCTTCGTCCCCATTTTCCTTCCTTTCCTATAGATGCTGATATTATAAAACAAGATTTTCATGAGGCTCAGAACTAATTTCTAATGAATTCACTTATTCCTCCTCTTCTGTGGGCTTCTGCTCTTTCTTCTGTACAAGTAGAAAGGAATTAAGAGTCTGCAAGGCACCGATGTTGAGGAGCTCACTGTATCACATTATTCTCATTTTGGGACCCTTTTCCTACCTAATAGTGCTCTGTCCCTGGGACTTTACACAGTGACATTTCTGTGGATTCTAATCATTTTACCTTCCCATTAGCAACAGCAAGTGTTCTGATTTCTTTCCATCC
Source organism: Homo sapiens (assembly GCF_000001405.40). Classification (NCBI taxonomy): domain Eukaryota; kingdom Metazoa; phylum Chordata; class Mammalia; order Primates; family Hominidae; genus Homo; species Homo sapiens. The sequence continues at coordinate 9,226,950 of NC_000020.11, forward strand.
TCACCAACACTAATTTTTTGTTTTTTTTGTTTGTTTTTTTTAAATTAGAGCTTTCTTAGTAGGTATGAAATGGTACCTCCTTGTGGTTTTGCTTTATATTCCCTAATGACTGATGCTATTGTTCACCTTTTCACTTGCTTGCTGATCATTTATACCTCTTCTCTGCCCTTTGCCCATTTTTTAAGTGGGTTGTCTGCTTTTTTGATGTTGTTGAATTCATTGTAAGACTTTTTTTTTTTATATGTACTGGGCACTTGATCCTTTTCAGATATATGACTTGAAGATATTTTCTCCCATTCTGTAGACTGTCTTTTCATTTTCTTGATAACATCTTTTGATACACAAAAGTTTTTAATTTGACAGTCAAATGTATCTATTTTTTCTTTTTTTCCCACTTTTCTTGTCATATGTTAGATCCCTTCATATTTTGTTGTTATATTTAAGAATCCAAGTTTATGAAGAATTACCCTAAGATTTACACCCTGTGTTTTCTTCTATCAGTTTTATGATTTTTAGCCCTTATATTTAAGTCATAGAGCCATCCTGAATATGATGTGAGGTAGGGGTCTAATTTCATTAATTCGCATGTAGATATCCAGTTGCCCCAGCACCATTTATTGAAGAAACTATTCTTTCCAAGATTGAATCATCTTGGCACCCTTGTCAGGAGTCTATTGGCTGTAGATTTGTGGGTTTATTTCTTGATTCTAAATTCCATTGCATTGTTCTGTATGCCTATACTTATGTCACTGACACACTGTTTTTATTACTGTGTCTTTTGTAGTAAGTTTTGAATTCAGGAAATGTGAGTCCTCTAGCTTTGTTCTTTCCCATTATTATTTTGGCTACTTGGGGGGCTCCTCTTGAAGGAAGAGTTTTATTTTATAAATAAAAATGTAATACTTTTATTATTGTTTTGTCCTGCAGTGATTTTTCAACTATGGTATTATAGCTCAGGAGAAAGCAACTCCAGTAAATAATCATGTGATTGCATATGGGGTTATTATAGGCATGCTACAATCCAAGGGCTTCTTTTGCTTAAAGTTTTACATTCTAGAAGCCCTGGAAACCTTGATGAGAACTACATCAGTGGTATTCAAAGCAAAGCCAGCGCACAGACTGCTAAGTTAAAGCTGCTTGTTAGAATTCCAAGGGGCCATATTCCAGCAGCCTTTTGGAAAAGAGCAAATGTATGAGCTTCTCATTTGCAGTGATAACTAGACACTGTCCTGATTTATGCATATGTTTGCCTGTACTAGTTATTGCCTTCAATTATAGAAGCAATTTTGAAAACAACTTTCTCTTATGTAAAAGAAAGCTGTGATACAGGCATCAAAATCAGGAAAAAAATCAGAATTGTGATGAGAGAGAGTAAGGAAGAAGGCAGGTGATTTTCCTGGGATAAGTCACATTTGTTTCCAGTATGTTTGACCTCTAGACCATTCCTTTTTGAGTAGAGGAGACTATGTAGGATTTTCCTTTTGGAAAGAACTTTTGTCTGTGGATCCTTAGCAACTACTCTTTAAGCACTTCCAGATGGTCTTTAAAGTCCTCATCTAATGGAAGCTGAGAGATTGTTCCTGGGGGTTAGGGGGTGGATAGAAAAGGGCTTTAACTACTGGATACCTTGACAATGGGAAGCTATAAGAAGGAGACACATGTATTTTTCAGCTGACCCTCATCAAAATACAATTAGAAGTAGGTACATATGTGTGTTTATGTGTATATGTGTGTTTATGTGTATATGTATTAGACACTGCTGAGCCTAGAGCACTGAGTGAAACACTTCAGTAACTATAATGGGAGAACTTCTTGGATTAGACAAACTAAAGGAGGAAGAAAGAAATGGGCTAGGGCAGAAGGCCCAGGGCCATCTTCATGGGTAGAGAAGGTTGACTTCTGGGCCCATGCAGAACCTCCTAAAGCTGAGATGGAGAGAATGCTGAGAAGCAGATTCCTAAGAGGCAGCTGATATCAACAGGCCTGACTCGGGCCAGCCAGAACTCACCACTAGGTCCTTGGTCTTCATGGTTTGGCAGGAGCTTTTGGCATCGCTGTGAGGATAACATTCTCATCTGGTGCAAACAACAAAATAAAACAAACCCCATGCTCTTAGAGAGTGCCTAAGACATTGTGAGAGTTTAATAAATGATAGCTATTATTTTTGTTTAATATACAAAAAGAGTGGTTCTTAAAGGTCATCCCATAAAGCAGCCTTTTTTAAGGATCTCCAGAGGAAGTGTGGACTACAGTCTCCTGTCTGATTCATCCACTGTGAGAGTTTATTTCCCTACGGGCGTGGAAGGACTAGCAACACTAAAATCTCATTAAACGGGTACAGAATGAAGCTGCTTTCAGTGGATGTGTGCTTTCAGATCTATCACAAGTGTGAGTAGTTGTCATTTTTTAGCCACTAAAATTGATTCAGAAATTCTGCAAACAAAGGAAGGATTTTAGGATGCAGTGCAGCCAGAAGAAGGCCACATGTCTCCTGCTTGTGCTCAGTGCCTTTCATGGAGGTTATTGTGCAGTATGGAAGGTCAGTAACCAAAGTGCATGCTGCAGGGAGAAATACCAAACTGTCAACAGGGATTCCCTTTCAAGGTTCCATTGGAGTTGGAAGTTTTACCTCTTTATTTTATGTTTTCTCAAGATGTGGTGAACTTATTTTTTTTTTATTTGGTACCTTTTAATACATCTAAAAACAGTTTTTACAACAAATCTGGGTTCTTTGTGTTTAAAACTTTTTTCCTTCAAATTTTAAGTTCAGGGGCATATGTGCAGGATGTGCAGGTCTGTTACATAGGTAAACATGTGCCATGGTGGTTTGCTGCACAAGTCATCCCATCACCTAGATATTAAGCCCAGCATCCACGAGCTATCCTTCCTGATGCTCTCCCTCCCCCTACTTCCTGCCCTCTAACATTTTTTTTGAAGGTTAAAAAGGAATTATCAGAGTGATTATCAGGGAAAAAAGCTGGGAAATGTATTACACTTTTTTTTTCCACTGGTAATGAAAATGAACTAGGACTGATAACAAAATACCATAGACTGGATGGCCTAAACCCACAGTTCTGGAGGCCAGAAGTCCAAGATCAAGGTGTTGGCAGGTATAGTTTCTTCTGTGGCCTTTCTCCTTGGCTTGCAGATGGCTGCTTTCTTTCTTTGTCCTCACATGGTGTTTGCTGTGTACACTCACATTCCTGATGCCTCTTTTTGTGTCCAAATTTCCTTTTCTTATAAAAACACCAATCACACTGGATTTGGGCCCACCCCAACAGCCTTATTCTAACTTAATAACCTCTTTAAAGATACAGCCAAATACAAATACAATCATGTTCTGAGGTACTTGGGGGTTAAGGCTTCAACATATGAAATTTGAGGGCAGTGGGGGATAAAATTTTGTCCATAATAAGCAGTATAGGGGTAAAGGAGAACATAGGTAAAGCAGGAACTAAGAACCAGAAAAGTGGGTCAAAGTTCAGGGCCATGAAGTTAAGAAAAAGTTTTAGGAGGGGAATCTGTAGACTGAAAATGGCAAAGAAAGGATTTCCCTGACTGACCAGTGTCTCAGTTGGCTTTCACAAAATAACAAACTACCCTCAAAATTTAGTGGCTTAAAACAGTAGCCCCTCATTTAACTCACAATTCACTGGGTCAGCAATTTGGGCTGGCCTTGATTGGGAAGTTCTTTTGGTCTCCATTGGGCTCTCTTATGGGTCTCTGTTCAACTGCCAAGTATGCTGAGGGCTGGGTGGTGTAGGGTGGTCTTAGCTGGCATGGCTCATTTCTTCTCCATGTGTCTCTTGCTTTCCTGCAGAGTAGTTTGGGCTTGTTCACATGACAGCAGCAAAGTACCCAGAGTACGAGAGCAAAACCATGCCATAATTTCTGCCACAATTCTATTGGCCAAGGCAAGTCACAGGCCAGCCCAGAGATTCAAGAGGTGAGGAAATAGACCTTTTTAGGTGATGGCTTTAGGAGACAAGGATTATTTGACTGTCAAAGTCCCATGGCCTATTATATTTTATATTAATAACAGACTTTGCTTATATTCATGTATCAGAGAATAATAACCTGGAAAGGAATTACAAGCGTATTTATTTATGGGTGGTACTTCTGTATTCCCAAATTTGGAGACATAGTTTAATCAGAGCATTTCTTAACAACGTTGGTTGGCTTTTATTTTCCTGTGTTGCTTTGTCATCCAGAACACTGGGAGAGATCCTAGGAGAACTCTGGGTGATAGTTTCCATTTTCAGAAGTCTGGGTGATAGTTCCCTTTTCTTCCCATATCTTACTTTGAATGAAGCCTCCATGGATGAGGTAGCCCAGGGGAAACCTCCAGCTATTATCTTGTGGGGTTAGGTCGTATGAAGCTCTTACAGGAGAACTGGGTCTTTAGGGTGTTGTGTAGGGGGGTAACTTAGGAAAATTCAGCCATAACACCTTATACAGGAGATTATGCTGCATATAAACCCTCTTGGAGAGAGCTGCCACCTTCTTGCTGTATTCACTAGTCCTTGGTATCCACATGGGGCTCTGTTAAGGGAGCCCCCCCATCTAATTAGTTCAGGTGTTATATAAAACATGATGTATATAGCAGTGCTCCTTAGCCTCGTTGTGGGATAGTGCACCGAATTTCTATGGAGATGGGGAAGAACATATTAGCATTTTATAGGGCAGAGAGAGGAAACTTGTGTGTAGAGTCTGAAAATTTCAGTATTAAAGTTTTATATTTGGAAAGCAATCATAAAATTTTCAGTACATTTACATAAAAAACATCTTGGCAGATTCTTATATAGTTAAACATATACTAACCATATGACTCCAGCAATTTTACTTCTAGGTTTTGTTTCCCAAGAGAATGAAAACTTACATCCACACAAAGACTCGTAAACGTATGTTCATAGCAGCTTTAGTCATAATAGCAAAAACTGGAAACAACCAATTATCCGCCAACAGGTGATGGATAAAAAAGTTATGATGTGTGCATGCCATGGAGTACTGCTTAGCAATAAAAAAGCAATAGGTCATTGATACAAACAACAAGTTGGATGAACCTAAAAAACATTCTGCTGGGTGAAAGAGGCACCTCACAAAATAATAAATGCTGGGTCATTTAATTTATAGAATGTTCTAGAAAAGGCAGATCTAATCCATAGTGATAGAAAGCAGATCAGTGGTTGCTTACATCTGGCATGTGTGTATTGAAGGAGGGTGATGACAAAAGAGTCCAAAGAAACTTTTGGGTTGATGGACAGGCCTCTAATATCTTGATTGTGATGCCAGTTAGCATAGATACATTTTATTGCATATAGCACATACCTTAATAAGTTTGGCAATTTGGGAGGAATTGCCTATGTTTCTTGTAATGCAAGGCATCATTACCCTAGAACAATATAAAATCTTTATGATCATCAAAAGGGAACATGGGTTTGATTAAAGATTAAAGCTTTGATCTACCTTTAGTTTAGGGATTATTCATTTGTCTCTAAATTGTCTATTGTTGAAAACAGTGGGCAGGAATAAACAAGAAAACCATTCAGAGTCTCATCATATTATATACCTGGCTCCTGTGACTAAGCCAATATCTTCTAAATTAAAACCAAATTTTAGGAATTCTTCAACAGAAGTATGGAAACTTCACTTATTTAGTTGAATTATGGTAGCTACAGCTGGGTAAAGTTTGTAGGTAATTTTCAACATTTGATGCAGTGCAAAGGACTAAAGATCAGGTTTATGGTTTATAGATCATATGTTTATGTCAATCAAATATTATTTCTTTGATGAAAACTGAGTGGTACAAGTGGGTAAATTTTTGTGTATGCTATGTGAGTTCTGGAAGAGACAAAAGTAAATAAGAACAGGAGAAAAATAGTCCCTTAGAATTATCAAAATCCTATTTTGGCTGTTCAGTCTCCGATAGTTTAAAAGATAAAGCTGAGAGAAAAAATATGATTGTAATATGTTTATTTGGGTTGAATGCTTGATGTAACTTAGGAAGAGAAACTTCTTTGCTTTTAGCATCAAAGAGTTTATTAGTTCCCAGATGTCATTCATTCCCCAGAGTGCTAGAGACAGTGATTTATATTGTCAAAGGCTGACAATGCCAAAATGGAAGCAGATTTTGTTTTACTTCTTAAGCCAAATCATAGTCTAGTTGAAATTACTCAAATGTATCTCATTTTAGTTTCATTTTGATAATCCAAAAATGAGTTTCAGATTTCATCTTCTAAATGTTTTAATGTTAAATGATAATGATAATGACCTAAAAAAATTTTATGTTTCCGTCCTCATTAGTGTTTGCTAAATAGTCACTTTTTTGTAATTTTTTTTCTGTCATTTGTTCATTCATTTAGCAAATATTTATTGAGTGTCTACCATGCACCAAGCACTGTTCTAAGCACTTGGAAGAGAGCAATGTACAAAGACACATCCCTGATCTCATAAAGGAACATTTTCTAATAGAGGGAAATAGATAATAAAAAGAAGTAAACACGTGAAAGAACAGGATAATTTCATGTAGTGATAAACATTAAGAAAATAAAAGGAAGTGGTATGGTAGAGGCTATGGTAGGATAGGTGATTCATTTGGATTTATGGTCAAAGAAGATTGTACTATGAAGGTAATGTTTGAGCTTAGATCCAAATGATGAGAAAGAGCCAGGAATGTGAACTAAGAGTACCACTTTCTAGATGGAGGCAAAAGCAAGTAAGTTTGCTTGTAAATAAGGTTGCAAGTAAGTTTGAGAAGAACTTATGTTTAACTAACAGTGGCCAGTGGGGAGCAAGTGGTAGATTAAGTCAGAGGGGTAGACAGCAGTTAGATGCATGATCACCTTTAGACCTTCGTAGGAAGGAGTTTTTAAAATTGTTGATGTTTCTTGTTTGTTGTTTGTTTGTTTTAAATGGAATGGGAATTTATCGATAGGCATGCTCTGATTTCTATTTTAGAAAATCACTGCTGCAGTGGAAAATGAATTGGGAGTGTACAGTTGGGGATAAACTGGAAGCAGAAAAGCCAGTTAGGTAGCTATTGGATTAACACAAGAGTAAAGGCTTATACCTAAGTGCTGGAGGTGGTGACGTAGAGAAAATAAGCAAGTTTGGGAACTATTTTCAAGGCACTTCAGCAGCAGATGAGTTGGATACAGATGGTAAGGTGAATAAAAAAAGGCACTGAGGATGACTCCCAGGGTGCCAGATTGAACAATAGGTAGGAAATTTACTGAGATGGAAAAGACTAGAGGAAAAATATGGATAAAAAATCAAATGTTCTGCTTTAAACTTTAAAGCTTTGTATGCTTATTGAGTGTTTGAGTGTAAATGGCAAGTAAGCAGTTGGATATATGAGTCTGGAGCAGTCAGATCCATGAGAGCTGGGGATGCAGAAGTGATTAATGGAAATAGAGACAGCCTCTAAAGCTTTGGGGCCATCTGTGATCACCTAGGAAGAGAAAATACATAGAGGTGGGTCACTCAAACATGTAGAGGTTAAGCAAACCAAAAAAGATCAGGATTGTGGACAAGTGGTGGGTGAGGTCAGGAAAAACTTGGAGATTGTAGAATCACTGTCACTAAGAAAGAGAATGTTTCAAATAAGAGAGAGTAGTTCATTGGGTCAAATGCTGTCAAGATGATTGATGGAGTCAGAAAAGTGATGGTTGAATTTCAAAACCTGGAGATCATTGAGGACCTTGACGAGAGGAAAGAAGAATTGTAATTCGACTGGCCTGAGGAAAAAGGAAGGTAAGGAACTGAAATTTTCATAGGTTGACACTTGTAAGATGTTGGATTGGGGGTAATTTTATCATTGAGAAAGGGCATAGGAAAAAGAGGCTGGTTCTTTGAGGTTACTATATGATATAATCATTTTAGAGAGTGGAAATGTAAATACCCAAAGAAGGGTTACTGGACAATGCTTGAGTGTTCATTTGAGATTTGTCCTCATGCATTTAAAGTAAAGACCAGTTTGTTTGGCCATCAGTTTTCTCCAGCCAAACTCCATTACTGCAGTTGCTTAGTAGAGAATGAAGTGTAACCATGTTTGGGGAATTAACAAAGCAAGTATTCTGGAAAGAGAATGAGGCAAGGGAGTGAAGAGTGGTTGTAAGATGTGATGGACAATGGAATATAGGATGGGTAAGAAGGAAAGGGACACCTAAGGACTGTGATGGATAATGAAAGTGTGGTAGGGTCAGTGGAGTGTAGGCCTCAGATTGGTCATTGATGGACTTGGAGTTCTAATAGAGAAGAGGACAATCATTGGGCAGGGAAGGGGTGCTTGCATCTGATTTTGAAAGGAAGTACAGTTGCTGGTGATGATGATGTCAAGCAAATGCACATAGACATGGCTGACTGAAGTTGAATGGACAAATACACAATTGGAAGTTAAAAAGTCAAGGGTGTTGACCTCACCTGTGCTCCTGTTAGGCCATAAATGTTAAAATGTATTGATCCATAGTATTATAGAAAAATGTATAATAGTGTCTGTTTCCTTTGACTGTAGTTGATGTAAACTGACTCTTTTTCTGTAGTGGACAACAAACTATACATATTGTAGCCTCAGGCATTCAGAAAGACTGGTCTCTTTCCAAATCCCGCTTTCAAAAATCTCAGAGAAGACAATGACTCGCTCAGCATTGATTGTGAGGCCTCTGCAGGAGCAGTCAGCTCTGACTGGCAGAATTCTCAGATGTAGAAGTGGGTTGTTGGGCAGATAATCCTGTAAATGCCCCTTGCAGACACCAGCTGGTTTACATCAGGAAGTGAGTAAGAAATGCTTGGGCAAGACACACTTCATGAACCAACTCTTATTGAAGAGGGATGAATGTAATTTAAGCTCCACAGTCATTGTTTTTGGCATCTTCACGAGTGGTCTGGATTTTGTTATTAACTTACCTTTCCGGTTTAGCTCAGCAGGAAACTTAGCAGGCTGTGATTGTCTTTATCTATTCCAGGCCAGATATCTTTGTTGCCTAGATGCCTTGGCTTGTCTGTGATTTGTTTGTTTATAAGAGTTGTGCAAATCATAAGGGGATAGCTTATTGGATATTCAGAAAGTGAATGAGCCCAGGTAACCTGATAAAGAAACAGGACATTCCCAATATGCGGGATCCCCCTTCAGGGCTTTCCATGGTCACCATCCCTTCCCTAAGCGTAATCTCTTTCTTGACTTTTTATACCTTAGATTAATTTTGTCTCTTGATGTCTTGATGTTTGTACAGGAAAATCTGCTTATGGTAAGCAGGTACTCTGGCACAGATAAAACCAAGAATGTTTAAGTGACCTATAGGTTAGTGCTTCCTCCAAGGCCTGAAATCCTTGCTGTTCTCCACCCCTCCAACCCTGCCAACCGCCGCCTTCCAGAACAAGGAAGAATAACCTTATAGCATAAAGAACTACTTTACCTTCAAAGTCTGCTGGTAATTATGTAATGATATAAATTGATAGGACACAAGATCTTTTCAGGCTTTTCCTTTTGTGTGCGTGTGTTTTTTTGCAAATACGACTCTCTGGAACATTCATATCAAGAGTCCTGCAGAGAAGAGCCTACTTAGACTGAGCCTAATTGCACAAGGCAGTGTCTAATCTTTCGTGTGTGTGTCTGTAGTGGAGACCTCTCTCCTGATAATGGTAACAGATGCTGATTTTTAAGTGCTGTCTGTCCTTCTGCAACAGATCAGTGCTGGGAGATGTCAGACACCAAGGCAGAGCTTTCCTGGACTCATTTTGGATTGATGGGAGAGGCACTTATTTCAGACAAGCGGTAGCATTCTACGTGAGTTTCTATGGAAACTAACAATGTCAGATGAGATCAACAGCTGAATGCTATTTAATCCAAAGGCAGCTTAGGTTATGTGATTTTGGATAAAAGTTGTCCTGTAAGAAACAAAGGAAAAGATCATTTCTTTCATGGGAACAGACAACTGAAATATGATTTATTTACCCAGCCACATACAGATTACTCTTGTTATGTGTTGAACACATAGGACATCATGACACCTATGTGATAGGTTTTATTCTAATAACTTATCTAAATGATACCTTCATGATACTGTGTCACAGAAATACAGATTGTGGAATAATGTGACATTCTCCCACAGGTCTTAAGAGAGAATGAATGAAAAAAAAGACGGCTTTTCTGTATTATACTTTATTTTTCCTCACTTTTCTTTACTGTTTTATTTATTGTGGTATAATTCACATGTGGGAAAATGTACAAATCCTAGGTCAAGACTTTTCATATGTAGGATACCCATATCACCACTTCTCAGATCAGGATGTGTGTGTGTGCATACGTATGTTTAAACGACTATATGCTTGTCACACACATCCACATCCCCCAACCCACACCCCCATATATCCTAATCTTTATTAGCTGCAGCATGAGATAACCAAAGTGAAGTTATTGGAGGAAAGGTGGGTGATGAAGATTAGATTAAAGCAGCAATGGCCCTGAATGAAACGCTAAGGAGTTTGGACTTTTTCTAGTAGGAGCTTGCTCCTCAAGGTATTGTCCAAGGACCAGCAGCATCACTGAGGAGCTTGTTAGAGATGCCAGATCTTGGGCTCCACCTGATCTACTGCCTCCGACTCTCTGGGATGAGGCTCAGCCATCTGTGTTTTCACAAACTTGCCAGGGATTTCTGTGCACACTCAAGTTTGAGAAGCATGACAGTAGACCACAGATCCTGAGAACATAAACCAGTAGTGCTACCAAAGTTTGCACAAGAAAAGAGGAATTTTAAGTGGTGTTAATAGATACTTTGCACAGAAGTGAAATGCTGAACTAAACACAGTTAGACACTTTTCTTTACCATGACATTCTCAGAACCCAGAGTATCCTGATATAGATTGTGAATCCCCTAAAGGGAGTTATAGTGGAATCTTTTTTTTTCTTTCTTAGTATTTTTTATAAGAACCAAGGGAGGAATTAATATTGCTTGGAACTTTGGAGACACATCATGGTGGGCAGTGACAAGGCAGAGAAAGCTTTTCATTAGGAGAGGAATGGAGTAGCATGATGAAAGCAGTGCTCTGCGAATAATCACGTAGAGGCATGCAGGTTTAGAAGACTGGCCTGGTTAGGGATAGGGACTGCGAAAGAAGGAAATGATTAACTTGGACACCACTGGGGAGGCTCTGGAGTTTTCCAGAGCAGCTGGAAAGAGAGTTCTGAGCAGCTGGATTAGAATGGTGATTCTGAGAAGTATGGAGGTATGGCTGTTGTAGGAAGAACTAGGTGCCTATGGATATAGTGCCAGCATATACTGTTTTAACATTGAACTCTGAAGGAGTTCTGTTGTCACTTCAATACAAGCAAACATCTCATGGCCCATGAACATGGTTTCGGAAAGAAATAGTCCTTTGCCAACAGCCTGAGGTTACTGCCTGGTCAGTGGGTGCAGGCTGCTGCACAGGTGTGCACTGTGGAGGAGGAAGTGGAGTTGACCCCCCCCCGAGGGACACCTTATCCATATGTGGGTGTCATCCTTCAGCACAGCAGGAACACTGGTGAACAGCATAGCCTTTGATTTCCAAATCCAGTCTTATCATTTGAGTCCTTTCTGATATCACGCTGTCACCAGGCAAGGCCACCTTTCTGGGTGGCTGCTGTGTTGACTGATTTTGATACTGCAATACCTGTGTCTGTGATTTTCCAGAGCATAAAAGGAAAGTGGGCATTGTTAACAGTTCCTCATGACTGAGGCTTTTAGTACAATTTTCCATGCTGTAAATAAATGATGTTACTCAAAGACAATTAGGTTATATTTGAGAAACTTTCTGATTTGTATCAAAAAGTACCCTCCTGTGCCTCTGGATAGCCAATTGGGCTGGACCTATGTTGAATAATTATTCAGTTTGGAAAGTATAACATTTTAGATTTTTTAATAAGAGTAATGTATGCACATGTAATGAGATAGATCAATTCCTGCATCTCCACTTAATTTTTTGGAGGCGATCACTATAGCCGTTTCTGTTTTTAATTCTTATGGTGGTCATTGCTGTAATCTAAGTTAAATCTTCAGTCTTCCAGTACTCAGTTGATCAGTTTTAATATTAGCTATTGACTTACTTAATGAATAAAGATTTATATAAACTACAATCTTGATTTTTTGATACTTACCTTACTATTTATAGTTCTTTCTGTGGCCCGTGTTAGTTTAAATAGCATTTTTCTGTATCTTATTCCTCTAACATTTGAAGGTCTGTCTTGACTCCTTACCCTGTAAGATGGTGGTATTTGCTCCACTATCCTCTCTTGAACTTTCTTCCTTCCACTCCCACTTCTTAACAGTCCTCTTTTACGTTGTCAAGTATCCAAGCATTTTCTTTGTCTTATTTTTTCATATCTTACATCATGATAGCTTTCCCATGTCAGTATAGATTGCATTATAAACTGGATTTCAATGGATATATCCTGTAGGGGAGAAAAAGCAGTATCTTTTCCACACCCATCTCACAGTTCATGGCTGACCCCTATAACAAAGACAGATTAGCAAGAGAAAAACGTAACAAATTTATTTAACCAAACCTTTCTGTGATACAGGAGTCTTTGGAAATGAATGCCCAAGTATCCAGGGAAAACTGTATTTTTGTGGACAGTTGTGCTCAAGTATGATTGAAGGATGGAAGGGTACGCTATCATCGTATGTATTAGTCAGGGTTCTCTAGAGGGACAGAACTAACAGGACAGATGTATATATAAAGGGGAGTTTATTAAAGAGTATTGACTCACACAGTCACAAGATGAAGTCCCACAGTAGGCCATCTGCAAGCTGAGGAGCAAGGAAGCCAGTCTGAGTCTCAAAACCTCAAAAGTAGGGAAGCTGACAGTGCAGTCTTCAGTCTGTGGCCAAAGGCCTCAGAGCCCCCGGCAAACCACAGTGTCAGTCCAAGAGTCCAAAAGCTGAAGAACTTGGAGTCCAGTGTTCAAGGGCAGGAAGCATCTAGCACAGGAGAAAGATGAAGGCTGGAAGACTCGCAAGTCTGCTCTTCCATCTTCTCTTGCCTGCTTTATTCTAGCTGCGCTGGCAGCTGATTAGATGGTGCCTGCCCAGATTGAGGGTGGGTCTGCCTCTCCCAGTCCACTGACTCAAATGTTAATCTCGTTTGGCAAAACCCTCACAGACACACTGAGGTACAATACTTTGCATCCTTCAATCCAGTCAAGTTGACACTCAGTATTAACCATCACATAGTAATAAACTGGGGTGAACTCAGCAAGGCCTATTTGTTCAGATTCTTCTTGGTGTCTGTACAGAGGAGTAGCCCTCTGGAATGAGGGTCTTATGACCTACTTTCAGGGGAGGTAGGCCGAAGAATTTTTTTTATGACCATGCTTCAAGGGAGAGAAATGAGAGAGGATTAGAGAGTGACCTCCAGGTGCCATATTTTGGGGTAGTGTGTTCTGAGCCCAATAATGATACCTAGTGTTAAGTAGGTCTCATAATTTTTGTAACTATATTATTTCTCTCTGCTCACCTTCTGCCCAGTTTTCCCTTTCATTCTCTCTGTAACCATCGTATATTGTAAATAACTTTACAACTTCAGCCTTCTAGCCTGTGAATTTTCCTAACTATTATTGTGTTATTGTGTTCTGTGCTGTGTCTGAGCTTGATTTTTTCCTGCTATTCCCTGCGCCAGCTCCAAGCCATGCCCACTTCAGTTCCCTCTGGGCATATTCTGGTCTGTAGCATTCCCTGCCTTGGTCTCTGATTGCACATTTGTCCTTGCTTTTTTGTCTTTATCTTCTATTCTTGTTTGTTCTTGACCCTTTCTCTTCTCTTTGGTTATCTGTCAGTTCTCTTTGTTATTCCCTTTCATTTGATTGGGGGGTTGGGAGGATGAGAGGGAAAGGAGAGAGGGGGAGATGAGTAACAAACACAGAAGTTCAGTCCAACAACCCTGGCCACTTAGGTAAACCGTTGTCTGCTCTGATGGATCATGGTACACACCAGAACTTTGTTACTGCATTTCCTGGTGGTAGCAGAGATCTCAATTGTTTGATTTGCAGAAATCCTATCTAATACATTGAATCAGTCATATTTCTTCTTCAATTCTCTGTCTCCAATGGTTTAGAAGGAAAGATAAGACCTATGGAAGGAATATTTAGGCTCAGTTTTCTTTGAAATGTATGCAAAACTGGAAGTAAATGAAAAATTAATTTGTGGTGGGTTTAGGTTTATTGCTTAACTACAAAGGAAATGCTTACTTGAATGAAGGCTTCTCTGATTTCTTTGTTACCAGTAATGATTTTATGGCTGGGGTAAATACTGTTACCTTTCTCCCCTTTCTCTATTTATCTTGCCCATTTACACACCTCCCTTGTACTTCCTGCTGTCAGAGAAGCTGAAATCAGCAAATCTGTCTGTAGATCATTTTCTTTTATTCCTCTGATGGCAAAATGGTAACAACAGAGGCATGCATGCATACACACACACACACACACACACACACACACTCACTCACTCCAAACCACACAAGAGAAACCAATGAACCAAAAGCAGAATGGGAAACAAAATTGGCAAAGCATAAAAGAAAAGGAAATGAAAGAAATGTGATAATTGTTGACCAACACTGAATATAATTTTCCAAGTCAGGATACTTGTGTGATGAATCACCAGATGCATTCAAGATTATGTCTAGAGTAGCAATGGAAATAGGAGGCTTTAAGCCAAGGGTATAACCTGCAGGAGCCAAAATAAGGAGAGCTCCTTCCCTAGAGAGCAGGTCATGGGAAGGCAGGCAGGAGCCTTGACAAAGTCAGTAGAATCAGAGAATGGAGCTGAAGCATGACCAGAATGTCAGCATAATCAACTCTCCAGAACCTTGGTTTATGACAATAAACATTTATTTTTGGTCACAAATTAATGGGTCAGCTAGGCTTTTTTTGCTGGTTTGGATTAGGCTCATTTGGGCTTACTCATGCATCTGTGGTCAGCTAGTGGGTCAGTTGGGGGCTGGCCAATTTTGGATCACCTCTGTTGGGACAACTCAGCTCTGTTCCATGTGGCCTCTCAGCCTCTATCAGGTTAGCCTGGGCTTGTTTGAGGCATCTGAACAAGGTTCCAAGAGAAGGAGCAGAAGCATGCAAGGCCTTGGGAAGTCTACATTTGGAACTGCAGGTGCAGGTGCTGTTTTCTCATTCTGTTGGCCAAAACAAGTCCCAAGGTGAACCGTAGAGTCAGAATGGGAAGAGATGTCAAAGTTACAGGACAAAGGCCAAGCATACAGGGAGGTTATTAAATGGAGGCATCAAAGCAGTCTGCCGCAAGCTGGGCAGTTATTGAGTCAGATTCATGGGTATGGTAGACTCCCCAGTGCTCGCAGAGTGGAGGAAGTTCAGAGAATAAAACAGAAAGAGTCATTATGAAGAGATCAGCTTTAAAGAAGGGGATTTG
The DNA here is from genome assembly GCF_000001405.40 of Homo sapiens. NCBI lineage: Eukaryota > Metazoa > Chordata > Mammalia > Primates > Hominidae > Homo > Homo sapiens. Next base: position 9,242,360 of record NC_000020.11, read on the forward strand.
GGATAGAAAACCTCACAGGCTCCTTCCTAATAACAAGGGGCAAGTTCCTTCAGGGCAAATGAAAACAAAGGGATGGCTCCTTTGTCCCTTGACAAGCTTGCCTCAGGGTGATAATTCATGTGAGCAATAAAGGGGACCATTTCATCTGGGGGAATCTAACCAATATAAGCAATGGCTGGACCTTCTTAAATTTAGGCATTTTCTGATTTACTAATAGGGTTGAGATAAGGGGCCCTGAATGTCCAATGGACACAGATGAGACTCTCATGCCCTTCTCTTGGCTTAGGCTGTTTAGCTGGGGATTTTACAGGATTGGAGGTGCCTCTTTCTTGTGCTTTACCCTAAATCAGGGAATTAGAGTAGTGGTTTTCAAAGTGTGGACCCTGGATGAGCAGTATCCATGTCACCTGACAACTTGTTAGAAATGCAGATTCTCAGGCTCACCCCAGACCCATGGAATCAGAAACTGTAGGAGTGGGATCTAGGCATCTGCGAGTTAACAGCCCTCCCCAGGTGATGTTGATGCGTGCTCAATTTGGAGGCAGCTGAATTAGGGTTCTGTGTGGTATTGATGGGTTCAAAGCCCATCAAAGAAGTGGAATGGATAGATGGATTTAGCAAATAAAAAATACAGGACATCCAGCTATATTTGAATTTCAGATCATCAACAAGTAAATTTTTTAGTGTAAGTATGTTCCATGTAATATTTGGGATGTACTTTTAATACTAAAACATTATTTGTTGTTGATCTGAGAACCAAACATAACCCAATGTTCTGTATTTTACCTGGCAGCCTTGGAAAGAGGTATAGAAAAACTGCAGAAAGTTCAAAGAACATCAAGATTGTTAATAGAATAGAAATTCTAGAGAGAAAGGTTAAAGAAATTAACTTGATGAACCCAGAGAGTACAGCACTGGTGGGATTAATAGGTTGGAGGATTTTATTTAAAGGGAATGCTGCTGAGCTGTTCTTCATGAATGCCCAAATTAATCGAGAAGAAATTTATTTTAGAAAAAGGCAAGACTTCCTGCCAATAAATGACTTCAGTGGGGGTTCTGAATGATTCTGTGATTCTCAAAGGAGGTCAGATCCATTTGGGATTTCATGGGATTGCATCCAGCCAATACTCCAATTTGTGTTTGTGAAAGAGCAGTTTAGAGAGGCATTTGCCAACAGGAGGTTGGAGCAGGTGATTTCTCAAGGCTCTTGATGACTTCTCTGTTTGAAGCTGCAATTTTTTGCATCCTTCTTTTTTGAAAAGCGCATAGCCTTTTGATTATTTTTCAAATCCGAATGTATCTGGAAGTTTGGTTTTTTAAAACGTGGATATAAAGGGGAGGCAGCAAAGCAGAGGTGTTAATAGGATGCTTTAAAACCAGACCGCATGGATTCAAATCCCAGCTGTGCCACTTCCTAGCCTCCTGCAACCTTTGGTTAGTTTGTGCCTCAAATTTCTCATCTGTAAAATGGGAATTATTGTGAACTACTCATTATTATCTCATAGGTAACTGTGAGGTTTAATTGAGCTTATTCATGTAAAATATAAGAATTGTGCCTAGAACATGGTTAGCCTTCATGAAAAGTTATTTTATATTATTAAGGACTAGAGTCTCTTTGTATATCCTGGACATTCAGAGGTTGTTATGGCCAGAAGCCATTGGTGAATGGTCAGTCCTATGACATGTATGGTAGAAGCATTGTCCCTTGTGAGCAGTAATGTCCTGTCCCTCTCCCTGATCCCTAATCTTGAGGTGTTGGTTAAGCTTAGAGTGATGTTATTCTGTGGTCGTATTGCTGCATCCTAATCATGAATCATTTCTCTTTCTCTACTCAGATGAACTTTCCCACATTTTCTAGAAACCCCCAAGATAATTGGGTTTCATTTCCCATTGCATGTTGAATTCAATTAAAAAGCTGTAAGAGAATACCATATAATGTGGCTGAGAATATAATGACATTTCCAAAATATTTTTTAAGGAACTTGAACTCTAAATCAATTTAGTTCTGCTAGTAAGGACAGAGATTTAGTCATGGAAAAATATTAATCTGATGACTAGTTTTTATCAAAATTAAGGATCAATTATGACTAGTTACTTTCAGAAACTTAGTTTTGGAGATGAAAACAAGTGATTTGTTTTCTGAACTCCTGCAGGGAACAAAAAAAAGGTAATATTGGCCCCATACAATACATAATTTCTGTCTACGTGTGATTGAAGTGTCAAATGATAAATCCCAATCCCCTGTTAGAAACAACAGTTTAGTCAGTCTGTTCAGGACTTTACTGTATGTACTTGATGATCAGTTAAGTAAAGAGTGTTTAGGTGGACTTTTTTTGTTGTTTTGCTGAAAAGTTTAAGTTTGTTCTTTAAATGAAGTTCCCTTTTGAATTTGCAATAAATAGTAGGCACCCAATTTTGCAGTGCTTGAATTCTGATAGTAAATAGTGATGGTTGTTATTTTTCTTTTATTAAAGAAAATGCAGTATAATGCCTACATCATGGCTTAAAATATTAAGTATTTAGTCTTCTTCTTGAGTCTGTGAACGCTGGGCAGTTCTGAGCAAGTGGACCAGGCTTGACTGATCTCAGCTATGCTCATGTGTATGTCTGTCAGCTGACATGTTGGCTGGTGGCTGTCTGGGCAAGAGCAGCCTTCTCCTTCACACCTCTGGGAGTTGGCCAGTTGTAGGTTGAGGATGGGACAACTGTGCCATGTGCCGCTTATCATCCAGAAGGCTAGCCCAGCCTGTTCATATGGTGGAGGCAGGAGTTCAGGAGTTCAAGAGAGACAGAGAAAGAGACTGGAAGTAGGCAAAGTCTCTTGAGAGCTAAACTGGGAATTGGCACCAAGTCACTTCTGCTGCATTCTGTTGGCCAAAGGAAGTCCCAAGGTCAGTCCAGAATTTTGGGGAGTGAGGAAATAGATTCCACTTCTTGATGGGAAGAACCACAGTATCACAAGACAAAGGTGTTTGGGGGTAGGCCAAAAAAGGGCTCACAAAATCCATGTCAAATCCCTGGAATCTGTGAATGTTACCTTCTATGGCAAAAGATGTGATTAAGTTAAGGATTTTGAGGGGAAGAGTTTATCCTGGATAAACAGATAGGCCCTGCCCTAAATTTAGTCACATGCATCTCTACAAAAGAGAGGCAGAAGAAGTCTGAGTGAGACCCACAAAGAGGAGAGGGTGATATTAAGATGGAGGCAGAGATAGGACTGAAGCAACCTCAAGCCAAGGAATGCTTCCACCAGCAGAAGTTGGAAGAGGCAAGAAATGGAGTCTCCCCCTAGAACCTCTGTAGGGAGTATGGCCATGCCAGCACCTTGGTTTTGTACTTTTGGTCTACAGAACCAAGAGGCAATAAATATCTGGTGGGTTTTTTTTTTTTCCAGCCTCCCGAGTAGCTGGGACTCCAGGCACATGCCACATGTCCTGCTAATTTTTGTATTTTTAGTAAAGACAGGGTTTCACTATATTGGCCAGGCTGGTCTCGAACTCATGACCTCGTGATCCATCCGCCTCAGCCTCCCAAAGTGCTAGGATTACAGGTGTGAGCCACAGCACACGGCCAATATCTGCTGTTTTTAAGCTGTCTAGTTGGTGGTAATTTGTTAAAGCAGCCCGAGAAAACTGATACAGGTGTGGATACAGGGAGGGATAAAGAATTGAAGACATTTTTGCAACAATCTACATATACCATAAACTTAGATAATTTTATATAGCTCTTTTTCACTTAATATGACAAAACATTTATTCATGTTATTACAGTACTGTTAAACACTATTTTGAATAATTGTATAATACATACTATATACTGAGTTGATCTAGCTGAACATTTTATTGTTATTGACAATTCCTTCCATTTTTCTGATGAAGCCCTGTGCATAAAAAAACATAATCTCTATGCTCTGAATCACCATTCAGTTTCTCCCTTACCACTATACATACCTTCAATGGCAAAAACCACAATTACTTTTGCACCAACCTAATAGTTCTGGGAATTGTTATAACCGCCCTGTGAATGGTCTCACTCTCCCTCCAGCAGATGTACAAACCCAGCTATACCAGATTTGTTTTCTGATGAAAAACACAGTTCAAGTTAGCTAAAAACTTTCAAAGTTTGCTTTCAAATATTAGTTCTTTAATCCAACACTTAATACTCCTGTGGTAATGTTGTCTAAGTACAATTGTCATATAGCACTTTTTTTTTTTGGTAAGGCTTTGGCATCTTGAGGACAGCACTGCTTTTTTCAACTTTGTGTATCCTAACATCGTCTGCCTTGGTGTTTTGGAGGTATGGGTCACTCTGCTATCTGCTGCATGATGAGTGAATAAAGGAGTTAAAAAAGGGAAACATACTTATAATTGTCTTCTCTTGTCATATATGATCCCAGTTATTCAATATGACTGGATTTGAACTCGACTGGGTAAATTGCCTTGTTTTAGTTGCTTAGGGGAGTCTTAATATTTTCATACCATTGACCCATTTGGCATCTGGAGAAGCCTTCTCAGAATAGTGTTTATTAATACCTAGAACAAAACATATAGGATTACCAAAGAAATCAGTTGTATTGCACAATAGTTCAAAGTATTATGAATTGCAATATAGTAACTGTGTGCATCTTTATATTAATACATAAAATAATATATAGCATTAGGCCTCTTAGTTACTATTATTTCAAAGTAGTGATGACAGTACCCAGCATATTAAGATACTTCAACATCATAATGTGATATTAAGATATCTGTGTTTTTTATTGGTGGCAGAATCACAGATCTTTTTAGTACTACTGTAGTTTGTTGCCAATGCCCATAATTGAAGAAAACTCTGCATTTTAATGAGAGGTAGTATAAATGAAATTGTAACTTTGTTTTCATTTTAGTTCATGAATTACCTGAATTCTGTAGACCGCAGGTTGAGCACCTGAAAAGCTTTTTTAGAAATAGCTCTAGCCTCTGTTTTCCCCAGTTGTCATCACATAAGTTTGATTAAATATTTTGAGTAGTTTATGAAGTTATGGGTAGGCAAGACATTTCTGAACACTTGCATGTATAACATAGCACCTAAGATATTGTAGACATTATGTAAACTCTTTTTGAATAAAAATACAACCCTCTTCAAGTGCAGATGGAAAATAAAAACTCACTCACTTGGACACATTTCTGTTACTAACCTTCCTGGGTAGTTGTTTTGTTAAGTTTAGTTGTTTAGTTGAATCCTTTCCCTGTTGGTACTAAATTGATAAGTTGCTTGCATATAGTGTAGTCTATGAATAATTCTCTTTGATTTTTATTTGTTGAGTTTGTTCCCACTTCCAAAGGGGCTTGAGGTAGATTGGGTTCTGAAACAAAGTGCAGAATAGAGCAATTATGTAAACATAGATTTCCTGGAGGTCCTGAGGAGGCAGGTGCTCCAGGCACCTGGTGATCTGATTTCCACTCTTGGGCATTGCACTCTGGTCTGATTTCTGTAGGTGGAGATAAAATGGGAAACATTTAATGCAGCCTCCATTTCCTCTCAATAGAAATTATACAAAAATATTTTTTATTTCTTAAAAAACATTTTTCTTTCAAATTTAAATAGCCTGTAATACCTTTCTTCATTTTACAAAGCCCCGACTTACAGCAGCATAATATTTATTAATAGAGTTAAGCAGAATCAATGCATGTGTCCTGTCACACTGAGAACTGTAGTATTGTGGACAATGTTTCTAATGTATTGTGATCGGTTAGCTCTCATGAGAATAAGATGAATGTTTATATTACATATATATTATATATCTCCATCTATACCCATTACTATATCTGTGTATATATATGTATATATACGTATATACACATAACATCGAAAGTATGTGTATGTGTGTTTATCCATGTACTGTGATTAATACTCATGTACAATGATGTTCACTTGAACGCCAGCATTTTTTTATGTGGTTGATCTTTGCATTTTTCTGTCTTCAGGCCATCTAAATCCTCTGACTTTGAGGTTTTTTGATTTGGTTGAAACTAATACCAAAATTGGAAATCTTTTATTACACCAGGTTAACTCAAAGAGTTTCTTAATATGGGATAAAGGGATAGTTTGTAAGATTAGGAATAAATGTGATAATCACTTGAAGTTCCTGGAGCATACATAGTGTTTTGATTATTAATTTTGGCATCGCTTAAACATGTTAGAAATAAAAAGGGCCAGCAGCCTTTTGTGTCAGATTAACTTAGTAAAAATTACATAAAGAGTTTGCATTATTTATTTCTGTTTTCTGTTTCATTGAGTGGAAAATTTAAATCTGACCTACTGACTCTTTTAACACACTGAGAACTATGTATTTATTTCTAATTTATTGAGTGTCAGAAATATGTCTTCAAATTCCCTAAGGCTCAACTTCAAGGCAGGTTCCTTTATGAGGTTTTCTCTCATCCCCTGCATTAATTTCCTATTGTTGCTCTAGAAAATCCTCACAAATTTAGTGACTTAAAACAACACAAGTTTATTTTCTTATAATTCTGGAAGTCAGAAGTCCAAAATCACTGGGCTAAAATCAAGGGCTAAAATCAAGGGGCTGGCAGAGCTGCTTTCCTTTCTGGGGGCTCCTGAGGGGGACCCTTTCCTTCCATTTCCAGCTTCTAGCAGTTGCCTGCTTTCCTTGGCGTGTAGCTCCCTTCTATCTTCAAAACCATCAAGTCTTTCTTACAATGTCATCTCTCTGTTTCTTACTCTTACTCTTCCTTTCCCCCTGTTTAAGGACTTTTGTACCTTTGTGATTCCATTGAGTCCACGTGGATAATCTGGGATAATCTCTTTATTTTAAGGTCAGTTGATTCAGTTGATTAGCATTTTAATGCCAGCTTTTTTTTTTAATTTTATTATTATTATACTTTAAGTTTTAGGGTACATGTGCACAACACGCAGGTTTGTTACGTATGTATACATGTGCCATGTTGGTGTGCTGCACCCATTTTTGAGACAAGGTATCTCTCTGTCGCCTAGGCTGGTGTGTAGTGGCACAATCACAGGTCACTGTGGCCTCTAACTCCTGGGCTCAAGGGATCTTCCCACCTCAGCCTCCCAAGTAGCTGGGACATCAGGTGTGTGCCACCATGCCCAACTAATTTTTATTTTTTTAAATTTTCTGTAGAGACAGGGCCTTGCTATGTTGCCCAGGCTGGTCTCGAGCTCCTGGCTTCAAGCGTCAGTCTCCCAAAGTGTTGAGATTACAGGCATGAGCCACCATGCCTGGCCTCTTAATGCCATTTTTCATCTTAATTCTCCTTTGTGATATAACCTAACATAGTCACAGGCTCTGGGCATTAGGAAATGGCTGTCTTTAGGGAGGTATCATTCTGCCTATCACATCCCCTAAACCAGAAATGATCTATGTGTCTTTCATAAGGTGTTAGGGAAACACTATCTCAACGTGCTATTATTCACGTGCATGCTTTATCTCTCCTTTATAATTTAACCTATGGGAAAGACAGGACCCTGTCTATATTATATTTATGTTCTCCTCAGTATATAGCAACACTGAAAGAACCAGGTAAATATTTTTTGAGCAAATGAATGATTCTGTATCCAAGGAATGCATTAGTTATAAGGGAGAGAGGTCAGCTATAGAAAGAGAGAAAAAGAAAAAAGGCAGAAATTGACAGACTATTATCAGCACTACTCATAAGAGAATAGTGTCTTCATATGCACCATTGCCTCTAAGCAGCAAATAATTTAACTTGTTAAAGTTATGATCCACTTAAGAGTTATCCTATTCTGTCTCACTATAAATCAGTATTTTGGCACAAAAAAATCCTTCAGCCTTGTGTTGGCTTACTAAGAATAAGTTCCTTGAAGCCTTGCAAGCTCTGGGCATCCTACCTTTATGAAAGTGACGGACACACTCTGTGATGGATGCCCTGTGCAGAGAGACCTATTGGGTAGCCAGCCTGCACCTGTCAGGTGGTACCCACAAACCTTCCTTAAACTCTGTGAGCTTTACAGCATTAAAACACTTCTAAACACATGCAGCTTTTCTATGAAGCACTCTTAAGAACAAAGGACAGTGAATGAATTCCCCTAAGATGTTCAGAAAGCCAAGATTTCCCCCAAGTATTACCTTAAGACTGCATATGAGTTATATATTTTACTCCCATGATGCATTTGTATAGTTCTAAATACATAAAAATTGTTTGTTTGTTACACATCCAGGAAGTGTCCTTTTGAGATGTGTGAGCACATATTCTTACCATAGTTCTGTAACGTAGGCAGGCATTATTTGCCTGTCTTGCAGGTGAGGGATTCAACTCACAGAATGGAAGTGGCATGCCCATCATCACATATCTGGTATGTGATGTGTGCAACACAGTGAGTAATGAATCTAGATTACTTCACCTCAAACTCCATGCTTATTACACATTTAGTACCTCACAAACTACATCTCATGTGGCATCATGATTTGTAGGCCATCAGGTGTTCTGTTAACTTATGAACTGAATAATGCAGCATTTTCTAAAATGTGTTCCATGTCACATTACTCCAGTAATATTCTCTGTGAAGAGTTTTGTAATCAACAATACTTTCAGAATTAAAGAGTGTGTTAGTATAGTAGTGACTATGCATGTCCAACAGAGAAATGTGTTTTAACTTTGTTTTTACCCCAGTGTCTTCCAAACTGATATAGCCACAGAACCCTTGCTTTCTGCCCTCTTGCTATTATCTGTTGGGCAAGGGACAAATTTCTAGGTCCTGGATCCCCAGTTGCTCAGTCATGATTATGCATCCAGCCATGGTGTGCAAATTGAGCTGTTGTTAATGGGCAAAGGTTGGCTTTGCCACCTGGTTTTGTTAGGAGAGCTTTCAACAGCAAGAACTAGAATACCTAAGTCATTTTGTTTGAGCCCTTGCTAATGAAAGTGTGGTCCTCATATCGGCTGCATAGATGTCACCTGGGAGCTTATTAGAAATTTAGGATTTCAGTCCCCATCCTTGATTTTGTGAAAGGGAATCTGCATTTGAACAAAATCTCCAGGTAATTCATATGTAGTGTAACATTTAAAAAGCACTGATTTTAACCATAAGAACAATTATTTTTTATCTAACAAGAAATACTGAGGTGAAGCGTTCTATTTTATTGGCAACTCGGTAGTGGCATCAAGGACCTGGATGCTTGTCTCCTCATGGTGGTAAAATGGCTGCCAAAGCTCCATACGTTATCTCTTCCCCCAGCTGCATTTAATTTCAGGATGGAAAGAGGCAGAGGCAAAGGACTTTGTTCTTATGTGGCTCCCTTTTTTTACTAACTTCTTGCTCAGAAGGTCACTTGCAGCCTTCCCCTTAGTTCTTACCCATTAGATGGATTACTGGCAATAATAAATGACTGGCAATAATAAAGACCTCAATTCCCTTTGATCTTGACCAATGTTGTTTAAAAAATACATAATGCTAGCCACATACATAATTTAACATTTCCTAATGGCCATATTTTTTGAGAAAGCAAAAAGAAAACAGGTTAATTTTAATTATATATTTTATTAACCAATATATTCATACTATTATCATTTCCACATGTACCCAATATATAAAAATTGTCAGCGAGATATTTTATAATCTGTTTCTTCAAAGTCTTTGAAATTAAGTCTGTATTTTATGCCTATAGCACGTCTCAATTCAGATACTAAATGTTCATCAGATATTCTTGATCTGTATTTAGATCTCATAAAAGTCACAATTAAAAGTGTTCATAAACCTAAGTTGTTCCATGTAATAATTAACCAGTAACCAAATCAGTAGCAGATTTTAAATGTAAATGCAAATTAATAAAAATTAAAATAAATTGAAAACTGGGTCCATCACATTTCACATGTTCGGTAGCCACATGTGGCTAGTAGCTATCATATGAGACACTGCAAGTATAGGTCCTCACTACTCAAAGTGTGGTCCAAGGACCAGCAATGTCAGCATCATCTGCGAGCTTGTTAGAACTGCTAAATCTTGGGTCCTATGCTAGAGCTACGAAATCAAAATTTACATTTTATTTTAATGCATATTAAAGTTTGAGAAATTCTAGTCTAAGCTGTTCTCAATCTTGGCTCTAATTTAGATTTAATGTGGGAACTTTAGAAAATACTGTTGCCTGCACCCTATCCCAGAACCTTGGAATCAGACTTTCTGTAGTGGGGTACAGGCATTCATTTTTTTAATTGAAGCTTTCTAGGTTATTCTAGGATGCAGCTGTGATGGTAAATTTTATATGTCAACTTGACTGGGCTAAGGGATATCAGATAGCTAGTAAAATATTCTGCATATGTCAATGAGGATGTTTCAGGAAGAAATTAGTAAAGAAGATTGCCCTCATCAATGGAGCTGGGCTTCATCATCCAGTCTGGGGAAGGGCTGAATAGAACAGAAAAGCAGAGGAAGGGTGTGAATTTGCTCTCTCTGCTTGAGCTGAGACATCCATTTCCTCCTGTCTTTGGATCCTGAAGCTCCTGGTTCTCAGGCCTTTGCACTTAGATTGGTACCTACACAACCTTGGCTTCCCTCGTTTTTAGGCCTTCTGGTTTAGACAGGAGTGACACCACTGGCTTTCATGGGCCTCCACTTACAGACAGAAGATTGTGGGACTTCTCAGCCTCCGTGATCATGTGAGCCAATCAGTCTCTTGTAATACATCTGTCTGTGTCTCTCTGCATATCCTTTCATTCTGTTTCTCTGGAAAGCCCTGGTAAATGCAGCTGCTAAGTTTGAGAACCACTAGCCTAGACTAATCCTGATCCATCATCTCCAATCAGACACACTGTAGCCTAAGCAGTACTATGGTAGAAGCTCTCGGGTGAGTAACCAACTGTGACTTCCCCACTGGGTTTTGCTTCCCTCTGGCCTGTGCACATTTCCAGCAGAGCAAGGGATCCGACTAGAATCAGCTATACTTGCTGGAGTTGCACATTCTTGGTCTTTGTCCATTCACTCACTGGCTAACTCCTTCCTCTCCTTGCCTGTCAGCAGTTTCCTCATTCTTCACCTTCCTCGTTCTCCAGGTAGCAAACAAGGTAGGGCTCCTGCTCTGTGCTGATACCTACTCAGACCCAATCTGGAAGGCCATCAGTGACTGCCAGTTTCTTTCAGCTCCTCATCCCCACTCTTGCCCCAGTGAAAATGGGTTTCCCTTCCCTGTTGCCCTGTTCCCGTCTCTTTTTCCACTTCTAGATGGCATCTTGCACACTTCCAGTCTTTGTTTCCTTCAGGTGCTCATAATTCTGCAGTCATTTTGCTTATTATGTTTTGCCTCTTTGTTGATGATAAGCTCAAATGAGGTATGCATAAAGTCTGTTCATAGAAAGCAGCTCTGAATCTGTGAGGCCAAACTTAGATGTGATTTAATGACCATATTTGGGTACACTGGAAGCTGCCCATGTTCACTTCCCAGGTTTCCTGAAGATTTAGAAGGTGCACATACCTCAAAACATAGGCTTGCAAATTTACGTGCCTCTATTGCCAGCTGGATCTGCTGGGTTTCTCTTTGGAGAAGGGAATTTTAGCAGGACACACATGAAAAAATAAGTGCTCCTCTGTTAGGAATCTTCAACTGAGAAGGTGCCATCAGTGCAAACAAAGCCATGTTAGAGCAAAAGTATGTTTGGTCTGCCCAGCTCTAATAGATGATGTTCATGTCCCTTGGGCTCAAGAACAAAGGAACTGCCTGACAGTCTTTTGAAATCTCACCTGTTTCTTGGTAGAGAAGCTTCTGTGCAGTATACATTTCCATGATAAGTAACTGCTGTCAAATCTAATAAGAAGACTAATCTAAAATTTAGGCTGTATAAAAGTTAGGCTGTGTAATAAATAAAATAACCGGATTATATTAAAAAATAACTGTTTTTATTTGAAGACTGAGCACTTGGAGAAATATAGGAGTTAGCCAACAAAATCAATTCTTCAGCTTACATTTGAAAATGAAGTTCCTGTTTTAAGTGTATAAATCCTATGATAAAAATGTCTCAGCCTAGAAAATGCAATTTTTGAAATGTAAAGTTTTGATGTAGGATTAAAAATGTTATTGTCTTGGCCGGGCGTGGTGGCTCATGCCTGTAACCCCAGCACTTCGGGAGGCCAAGGCAGGTGGACCACTTGAGGCCCCTAGGAGTTCGAGACCAGCCTGGGCAACATGGTGAAACTCTGTCTCTACTAAAAATACAAAAGTTAGCCAGGCTTGGTGTTGCATGCCTGTAATCCCAGCTTCTTCGGAGGCTGAGACACAGGAATCTCTTGAATCTGGGAGTTGGAGGTTGCAGTGAGCTGAGATCGTGCCACTGTACTCCAGTCTGGGCAACGGAGCAAAACTCTGTCTCAAAAAATAAAAATAAAAAAAATTGTCTTATCACATTTACATAATTATTCTCTAATATTTATATTGCAATAAAAATGAATCTGGTAAAATTCCCTTGAAATGTGGGGATGTTTATTGCAAATGGTCCAATGGCTTTTCGGAGAAGCTCCTTGAGAAATATCCATATGATTCAAATTATGTGCAGAACAGCAAAGTAGTAAAAGTATACTATCAACTTTCTAGTATTAGAATTAAGAAATGTCAAGAAGAACCACCTCAAATTTTGGAAGGCCAGAGAAATTTTGATTCTTCTGCAATCACTCTAGTCAGTAAAAGAGATAAACCAAATAATAATAATAAATACACATATCTAGTAAAATATATATTTATACCTGCTCATATAGTGAAGTATATCTAATTTATCCAATACTATAGATAAGACATGGATGTGTTGTACCTTGCCCTGTTAATGGTGCGCTCACCAATAATCTCATCATCCTCTATGGCCCTAGGCAGAGTTCCTAATACTTTTGTTTCATTTGACAGATTTGAAAACACTCAGAGAAAAGCAGTATATACCCAAAGTCATAAGAATTGTAAGATTCAAAGTCATTCTTCTTGTTAGCTTCTGTTCTTTTCACTGCAGTATGCTGCCTCTTTATTCCTTGAGGCCCTCAGCCAATAGGATTTTGTAGGCGTGCTGGGCTTTTAGACATTAAAGAACTAGCCATTGAGTTGAACATTCCATGGTGGATTAAACCAGCCTAATTAACTTGTCTCTCCTCTCTACTACAGGTCTTCAGTCTTTTTTTTTTCTTTATTCTGGAAGCAGTAAAACTTTGAACTTAGTTTTTTTTTTTTTTTGTAAGTTTAGCATAAATTTAATGGCAAAATCATGCCCAAACCAACAGATGGTAATATATAATCTTTATTTATCCCACTTAGAGTGAATAGCCATAGATTTCACTCCATAAATACCTATGTATTTGATAAGGATCCACAAACATTTTCTGTAAATGGCCAGATAGTGATTATTTTAGGCCTTGTGGACCATACCATCTCTGTTGCAGCTACTCAACTCTGCATTCGTAGCATGAAAGCAGACATAGATAGTACATAAATGAAGTTGTGGCTGAGTGCAAATAAGTCTTTATTTGCAAAAATAGGTGGCAGGCTGGACTTGGCCCATTGACCATAGTTTGTCAACTGCCTAGACTAAAAGGTGATACTCAGATCTGTTGGGACTATTGCATAACATATATATATATATACACACACCATATTACCTTTCTGAATTCTGAAATATTTCAGACTTGAAGAGTGTTTAGTAAGGGATCAAGAGTGTGTACCTAAGATTTAAAGGAAGTTTTATAAAGGAGAAAGTCATCTCTATTATGGTCAAGCATTAAAGTTCTCGTATACATATGTCTGGAGGGGCAACTAAGGTTCAGATATTGCTAGTGCGTTAATCAGGAATGAGTTTTGTGAACAGCAAAGCATTGGAACACATAGCTTCTTTGTTGTCCCTTGTAACAAGATCAGAGGTAGGCAGTCCAGAGCTGGTTCAAGAGCTAAGTGATTCCCTCAGGGATCCAGACTCTGTCCATGTTTATTCTCCAGCATCCTTAGTTGATGAGCCTTCACCCTGATGCTCATTGTCTCATGGTTGCGAGATACATCCTGTACCTCCAGTGTCAAATGCACACTCCCAGCAAGGAGAAAAAAAGAAAGCAGGGAGAATTGTCTCTCTTAGAGAAGTAGAAACTTACCCCTGCAAATCTCGACATTCCTCTTGTCGGCTAAACAAGGTTACAAGGCTACTCCTAATTGTAAGGAAGACTCAGGAAGCAAGTATTTTTAGTTGGATTCATTTTCATCACCCTGTAAAAACAGGAGAAAGGATGTTGGGTGGGCAAGTTGCACACCATCTGCTGAGGCATCTGTTCTTGTTTGGTGGCTGTTATATTTCGTTACAGATACTTAACATCATATTGTCTTCTCCCTTGAGGAACATATCTTTTTAAGTATCCCCAGTGTTAGCAGCTTGTTTTCCATCTGAGTTGGAAAATTAAATAACATTATTCACATTTTTATGTAAATGTTGTATAATGTGCATATATAATTACTTGAGAATGGTTTTCTTCAGAAATACATTTTCCTATTTTCCTGAGGATTTTAGTTTTGGAGGACTTTGTTTACATGTGACTCTAGTATGCTGAGTAGCAAGGCTTGAGGGAAGAGTGAAGTTGACATAAATGGAAGGCAACTTGCACATTGAGGTTTGTGGGCAAGTGATTGTTCTCATGGAGGATGATTCCATCTAAGAGCAAGATTTTATGAACTCAGAGAATCTTAAGAAGAAACAGTTACTCAGTAACTTTCTTAAAATATAGATCTGATACAGGTATGAGAGAAGAGCAATTAAATAGGCACACAGAGATCATTTTAGTTCTTAACTTGAATATCTTGGGATACTTCCTTTCCTCCTAGAGGTAGTATTTATTCTGTTTCTGGAAACAGGGCATGTAACTTGCTCTTTCTTTGGTGTAGACTACCATAATAAGAAAGGATGGAGGTAACTGCATGATTTTAATTGTGTCTTTTTGCTTTAGTAGAATGTCCTAAAATGACACAAGTGAGAATAGTGTGAAAATAAATACATTCATTTATTGGTTAAGCTTTAAATGTGAGTGAAATTTTCTTCAACTAATTATAATACTAAATTAATTCTAGAATCTGTTTCAATGTAGCCATATAATTATGTAGAACTATAACCCTTTATTGCCCAGATAAATCTTGACCCTGAAATAATGTACGATAGACCCTCATCTGCTATAATTCTGAAAACTGCAGTAAGAAAGCCAAATTTTAATCCAAATGTTTCATGGTTCTTTGGGCTTCCAAGATGACAGGCTCATCAAAAACTATTCCTGACTTGGCCAGAAATGGAAAGATCTTCATTTTGATGGGTACAAATGAAGAAGCCACATAGATACATATTTGGACCAAGATTCCTTCCTTTTGGCTTCGAGATCTTTCACTAACAGGACTGAACGAACCAGAATCAACAGTATTGGGAAAAGTAGATAACTAAAATATAAATTTTAACATGAACAAATTTACCAACTGATTCAGAAGAAACAGAAATCAGAGAAGAGATGGAACTTTAAAATAAATTTAAATTTTATCAGGGAGTTGTGGACAGACTCCTATGAAAAGGAGGACTTCAAGAGCAAGAAGGGATTCTTGGAAATTAAGTCTGATTGTTGACTTTTAAAAACAGCATATTAGCTGAAAGAAAAGATGCAGAACTTTTCTAGAAAACAGAACAAAGAACCAAGAGTTGGAAAAAAAAATTAATGAAAGTGGAGACATTAGAGAATCATTCCACGTGGTCCTACATCTTCTAATAGAGGGGAAAAAAAGTGGAGGAAATAAAGATGCGCACACACACAGATGTTTTAATTTAGCATTGGATCATCATCTCCCCTGGGCAGCATGTCTTTTAAAGTATCTCTAGTGTTAGCAGCTTGTTTTCCATCTGAGTTGGAAAATTAAATAACATTATTCACATTTTTATGTAAATGTTAGATAATATGCATGTATAATCACTTGATAAGTGATAAGAAAAAGAATTTGAGTGGACCAGTAACTAAACACATTTTCACGATATTTCAGAATAGCAAGGAAAAGGAGAGGATGTTAAAAGAGTCCAGAAATGGGAGTGGGGTGGAAAGTTGACCACAAAGATAATTTCTAGGCCGGGCATGGTGACTCATGCCTATAATCCCAGCACTTCGTGAGGCCGAGGTGGGTGGATCATGAAGTCAGGAGTTCAAGACCATCCTGGCCAACATGGTGAAACCCCGTCTCTACTAAAAATACCAAAATTAGCCGGGTGTGGTGGCGTGTGCCTGTAGTCTCAGCTACTCAGGATGCTGAGGCAGGAGAATCGCTTGAACTCGGGAGGCGGAGGTTGCAGTGAGCCAAGATCCCGCCAATGCACTCCAGCCTGGGTGACAGAGCTAGACTTCCTCTCAAAAAAAAAAAAAAAAAAAAAAGATAATTTCTAGAGGACTAGAGGACAAGGGAATGACTTCATGGTTTGGAGGTAAAATTATTCTGAACCTGCAATTTTGTTCTCAGACATACTGCACATTTACCAGGAAGGTGAAATAAACACATTTTCAGACAAGTAAGATCTACATTATTTGATCACCCCAGATCATTCCTAAAAGAATTAATGCAGTGTAAGCTCAATAAAACAAAAGAAGGAAATATGGGTTTCGAGACCAGGTGGAAAAACTAGACCAAGGAATGCAATAAAAAAAATCTAAGACAATAGTTATTTGGCAAATCTTTTAAAGCAGAACAAAAAGTTGGCAAAATTACAATAGGATTTTTGGGGAACTCAGAAATCCTAAAAGCAAATGACATTTCCCTAACAGGAAGTGTGATGAAATGGAATGGTCTGAGTGAGTGGATGTAGTTTATACTGTTTAAGAGGGCTCCTTCTTCTCAGTTTTTCTTTGTTAATGTTTTTTGAGCAGCACAACTTTAGTGATAATATTGCATGGCTTTCTCTCTGCATTTATACTTACCACTTGTTTCTGCAGAGAACAATTATGTAATTTTCATATTGTAAATGTTATTCATCCAATTTTAAAAACGTGTAAAAAATAGATAGTACAGAACATGATATCACCTTGACAAAGTAAAAGTAATAATTAATGGAGAAAGGTTGGGAAGTAGAAAGGGGAAAAGAAATGAAGAGAAATACAGGGACTCTAATCTGTTATTTTACAGAGAGAGGATTTAAGAGAAACTCAGTTTGGTGAATTAAGAAAGAGAGGTTTAAATACAAGGCTGTAAAAGTCAATTAAAAAACGAAATATTGAAATAAAACTGGCAGAGATGGAGAGAAGGAGGGAATGGCATACTGTGGAGTTAAATGATAATTTCTCAGTAAACAAATCAAGAAATAGAGGTTTGAGCATATTATCTAAAGATACACTCTTCAACCCAGCATCCCAACCATGTGTGGTTATTGAGCCACTGAAAGGCAGCTAGTCCAAATTGAGATAGGCTCTAAGTATAAAATATATACCCAACTTTTCAAGACTTAGTATGAAAAAAAAGAATGTAGAATACTTCAATAATTTTTATATTGATTACATGAATTGATAATATTTTGGATGTATTTGGTTAAATAACATTTAATTTATTAATATTAATTTTACCATTTAAAATTGTTCTTAATATTACTACTAGAAAATGTAAAATCACAAATGTGACTTACACTATACTTTTACTGAGCAGTCCCTGATCTAGAGATTTGGAGGTACATTTGAAGAATGGAAATTAGAAATGATTTATGTGTTCATACCATCCCAGAAGTGGACCAGGGTGCAATGGGAAAGGAAGAGCCTTTATATTATATTTTATATGTTTTAGAAAATTTTCATACTAAACACTGAGCAGTTTCAAAGGGCTATTTGTAAAGTATATGAAAAGCATGAGGAATACTATGACAACAAACACCCTTAGTCACCACCCAGTTTAAGAAAAAATAAATAAAATACCATAGACTTTGAATGCATTTCCTCCTTCTACTTCAGGCTAGTGTACTGTTTTGATTTTCATTTTCTTAATAAACATAGTTATTCTCTTTTTGTAAAAAGTTTCTAATTGAAGGATATCTTGTGTAGTTTTTTGGCAGGGGTTGTTGAATAATTTGTCAGTATTAAATTTTAGAAT
This sequence comes from Homo sapiens, assembly GCF_000001405.40. Taxonomy (NCBI): domain Eukaryota; kingdom Metazoa; phylum Chordata; class Mammalia; order Primates; family Hominidae; genus Homo; species Homo sapiens. The sequence continues at coordinate 9,260,433 of NC_000020.11, forward strand.
GTGTGTGCCATTTGATGGCACAGTGGTTCCCTTTGAGAAATGTATTCTGTATGTTTTGAAAAATGCAGACTGCAAAAAAATGTATAGAGTGACATCATGTTAATTTTTAAAAGCATGTATGTTTATATAATTGTATAGTTATAGATCTACATATACATGTATATGCTGACATTGATGTATACATTTACTTGATATATATGTGTGTATATATGAGCTTATGCATATATAATAACTAGGACTAGTGCTTGTGTCTCAGAAGTCTTATTGGATTGGCAGAGGAGGGAACTTCATATTCTTGTTTTATAAATTTTCAGAGAGAGAGATGATCATAGAATTATGATTTTATTTACTTAGATTTGTTCATTTTCTGTATTTTTCAAGTAAAAATCCCTTAAAGAAATAAAATACATGTTGAAATATGTTCTAGCCCCGGAGACTATCTTAGAACAGAACACATTGCCTTAGAAGGTAAGAAGCAATATGTTTACAAATGAAAAAGAGGCTAAGTTGCATGAAAGTATTAAAGCCATTATTTTTCTTCTCTCCCACCCTAAGTATATTAGTCCAAGAGGCAAGTGTTCGCACTTTCAAAGCAATACTAAAATTGATTCTTTATCCCATCCTTTCAGTCTAAGACACTTTTAAAGAAACCACCAGTCTTCCTCCAGTGTGCTTCATTTTCTAACACAGTGTAAGAAGCATGTGAGCAGATCACATTAATGTAATGATGTGTGCTTCCAGCAGGACAATCAAAGCAAAGGGGATGCATGAATCTCTCTTTTTTTTTTTAATTTGCTGAGTGTAGACCATGTATAATTTTTGTTAATGTTTACTTCTTCTCTAATCATATATGTGCGTGTGCATTGAAAAGATTTTAGGAAATTCAAATTCCAAACAAGAAATTAAATACTTACAGTAATTCTGCCATCCAGATATAAACACTAATAATATTTTGTTGTATTTATTTCTAGAATGTCTAGACATATACATATAACCATTTTTAAAACTTAGGAAATATGCTGTGCATATGATTGTTTTTCTCATAGAATATTGTGAGTGCTGTTTCATGGCATTGAATGTTCTTCATAAGCATAGTTTTAATGACTGAATTAGATCATTTTAGAGAAATCAATTAAAAATATTCTAAGAGTTTAAATTGGGAATGAATATATCTTTGTGGTGAGGACTGAACATACTTCTTCTTTTACTTGACTTTGAGTATGTAATTGATTTCATAAGTAAAAAGATAATGAAATGTTTACCTTGTCATAATCAATAGTGATTTCCTAAGCTGTTAATGTTAGGTGAATGGAAGTCTTCCCCTGTGGATATGGAAGACATATCCAAGGACACATTGTTAATGAGAACAGACTGGCTGTGCACTTCGATACTCTCCAATAAGTGAAAAAACAGAAACTTCATTAATGAAAAATGACATGGAGCTATATACCCTTGCATTTTAAGACAAAGATGAATCTATATTCTGTCCTTGTCTCAAGGAGGCAGAAGGTTGCAGATTCCTTTTGGCTGTGTTGTTTACCTTTAACTAATGACTCATTTGGCATAAACCAGCATTATCAAGGTGAATTCCACCTGATCCAAGTCTAATACATGTCATACAAGACAGGATAAGGTGATCATTCTGGAAAGTGGGAATTTGGAATTGTGTCTTCTATCGTCAGTTGAATGAATGGGATAGGCTGAGCTGGAGGAGGAATGATTCTTTTGGGATATGGGGACCCAAGAACGAGTGCCATCTGAGAACCATTAACTTTTTTTAAAAAGTGGAAGATCAGAGACATTCACAAGGACTATAATAAGAAAGAGTATGATAGCTCAACATGAGAGAATAGATGAGGTAGTCAGGTGAGTAGGTGAGTGAGCGAGTGAGTGAGTGAGTGAGAGAGAGAGAGAGAAGAGGGCGGAATTTATAAAGAGCATAGCTCCCACCTCCTGGATGCCTTCTGCAGGCCAGCCACTTGTCTCCCATGGGTTGGGAAGGGAGTTACCTGCAAAAGGAAGAGCATGGAGGATGAGGCAGGATTTCTTTTCACTTGGCATGTAAGGATGATGAGACTGGAGGAGTAGGAAGGAAGGAAGTAGCTTGAGGTAAACAGAGTTTTAATAATAGAGGAGTTTGAAGAGTTGACACTGTCTGGCATTCCATGAGGAAACGAAGACTCCTTGTAAATGACTTGCAGAAGGTTACATGGTTTTTCACAGGAAGCTCCAGGAAGCTGCCTGGTACTGTTGGATATGGACATGAACTATTTATTCCTCTAAGATCCTGACATCTGAGACAAAGCCAGGATGTTTTATACAACTCTGGACTAGATGTGTTCTCTGATGAAAAGTGAAACTGCATCCTCTTTGCATTGGAATTTGCAGGCACTCTCTCAAGCTGCTTTAAGTGAGAAAAAGGGGAACGTATTGAAAGAACACAAGGCTGTGTCCAGGAATCTCAGAGTAAGCAGGGGAGGATCTAAAAATATGAACTGGAAAGCTTTAAAGAATCCAGGCAGTGATTGATTTTCAGCGGCTCTCTTATCTCTGCTCTTCCAGTGCTGTTTTTCTCTGCCCTTGTTTCTCTGTATACATGAGGTTGGGTGACTGTCCTAGATATTTACATGCCTATTTCAGGCAGCTCTTAACTAGCATCCCTGAAGTTCAATCCCAAACTCTCAAGAGAGGAAGAAGCTGATCGGCTCATGTGCTCAGCTTTGAGCACATGTCCCTCCTTGGTCCAGTCAGCACTGGCCAGGGGCAAGATCCCAGCACAAATATGGGTGCCATGGATAGCGTTGTGGATAGGGGTCTGATAATACTTGTCAAGGAAGAAAATTGTGGGCTGGAGTTCTCTAAAATTGACCACTACCTAAAATTGACCACTACCCTATGATATCTTAGCAGGTCTGGGACAGGGGACATGATCTTTCACCATCACTGTCTTTTCTTTTCTACCAACAAGAATATCTAGTCCCTTGCTATTGAAAGTATGGCCCATGGACCAGCAGCTTTAGCATCAGCTGGGAGCTTGTTAGAAATGCAGACTCTCAGGCCCTTCCCTAGGCCTATTGTGTTAGAGTCGCGTGGTAACAAGATACCCTGATAATTGTAGAGCACTGACTTTTGAGAAATGCTAATTAGATGGAGGAGAGAATTAGGAACCAACACAGACCAGGGCTACTGAGATGGCTTCTTCCACAGGTACCTGTCTCCTTTTATCTGGCAGCTAATTTGTTTTGGCCAAGCTTCAGCTAAGAGCTATCCCCTGCCCTCACTGAGCTCTTATTTAAGGTGTTTCTGCTAGAAACTTGAGTTCAGGATGAGCTGGAGAGAGCTGCCTGTGTTCAAGAGAAAGATAGTTTTTGTGTCCATCTTATTGTGTATTGGTACCAAAGGGGTGATCAGTGGGATGAAAAAAGGAAAGAGAAAAGCAGTAAAGGTGTTAAAATCATGTCCAAAAGGCAAGTATCAGCAAGTTCATTTTTAATTAGTTATTACCTTGAGGTTACTTATATTCAATCATTATACTACACCTGTTTTCACTTCTGCCTCTGAAAGTTTTTTAACGTCTTTAAAAAGGCATCTTTTCATAAAGCTTAAGCTCTTTGTGGGCTAAATAACAAGTTTTGATTTAGGAGAAATTACTAGATAATTCTGTATTAAGTCTATTTAGAATACAGACTCCCTCAAGAAACTCACCAGGTAGAACATCTGTGGCAGCAATTCAGAAATCCATGCCATTAATATTTCGGACTTTGAAGTCTAAAAAGATAAATTTCTGACACTCTACCTTGCAGGAACTCTGTTTTCCTTCATTTTCTCTTTTATACTCCCTAAAAGGCCCTGGGAACTAATGTGTGTCCTACAACCTGCCATTATTGTTAAATCAATCTGCTTATTTGCAGGAACGCTTTAATTATTTAGTAACCTGATTGGAAAATCCATATAAATTATTTTCTTATAAAAATCCTTACTTTGTAATAGAAGTGATCAGATGGAAATAACAAGAATTTCTAATTCTGTGGGCAATCAGGTGGCCTCTCTCAATGGGGCCCTTCTGACATGAATTCAGAACTTTCATCAGTGTTTATGTTGTTGGAGTAGAAATGTATAGTTTCACTGGATCATGTTGGAATTGTTGAAGCCAATTGCTGTAATGCACTTGATTTTTTGTGACTAAATTTCTGTATTTATCAAAACAGTTTCATTTTGTCTGGAAATGTAATGTCCTTTTCTTGAATAGGCATGTGGAAGTATTTGGAAATCTTTGAAGTACTGTTTCTCAACCTGAGCTGCATATTGGAATCACCTGGGGAGCTTTGACAACTACTGATTCCTAGGACCCATCTCCAGAGAGTCCAGAGTAATTGCTCTGGGTGCAGCCTGGACTGTGGGATTTTTAATCCCTTCCCTCCCCTGAGATTCTAATGTGCAACCAGTGTCAAGAGACATCATCCTGTCGACCGTTTACCAAACAGGTGTGGATGTGGGCAGACAGGCTTGTCAAAATGCGTTTTCCCAGATGCCATCCCAAGACAACAAATTCATTAGTTTTGGGGCAACTCCAAGAATCTGACTATTTAAGCAAGTCCAAGCCCCATTGTGATTTTGATAGAGGAGGCCCTTGCACCACATTTAGAAACCCTTTCTTGGAGATTATTTCTAAAAAGAGAATGACTGGGACCAAAATCTGTTCAGTGTTGTAGTATTAGGGACCATCAGTGAGTGATTGAGGTGTACTTGAAAAGATGACGAGGCTGGGGACTGGGCGTGGTGGCTCATGTCTGCAATTCCAGCACTTTGGGAGCTCAAGGCAGATGGATCACTTGAGGTCAGGAGTTCGAGACCAGCCTGGCCAACGTGGCAAAACCCCATCTCTACTAAAAATACAAAAATTAGCTGGGCATGTTGCCACACGCCTGTAATCCCTGCTACTCGGGAGGCTGAGGCATGAGAATCACTTGAACCCCGGAGGTAAAGGTTGCAGTGAGCCGAGACTGTGACACTGCACTCCAGCCTGGGCAAAAGAACGAGACTCTGTCTCAAAAAACAGACAAAAAACAAAACAAAAACAAGCAACCGATGACCAGCAGTTATGTGGTATAGGGGCAAGACTCCTGGGGTCACAACAAAATAATAGAGTTCTGATTCTCACAGTGTTTTCGTTACCAGTTCTGTGGCCCTGGGTATGACACTTAATCTTTCTGGTGCTGTTTCCCTTCAACTCCAAAAAGAGGGCTTGGAGAATATTAATCTCAGGTCCTCTGAAGCTGCCATACTTGATTATTCTCTGATGGTAAAAATCTTCCATTAGCATAAATTCTTACAGAAACTTCTAGCAGTGCTGTTGATGGATGCCCTGCCTCAGTGGGTCAAAAAGCATAGTGCCTGGGCAAGCGGCAGCATGGTCATCTTGTTAGAAATGCAGATTCTCAGGCCCCACCACAGATTTACTGAAGAAGCATCTTGGGAATGGGTCCCAGCTGTTTTAACCAGCCCTTCAAGAGATTTCGATGCATGCTCAAATTTGAGGAGCACGCCTCTAAAAATAGTACTTGGAAAAAAGAAAGTTGATAAGTATTCTTTTTACCTGTGGTGAAGAGAAATCATTTGCTAAACATATAAACATTTAAGACTATTTAGAAAGAAATGTTGGCAAGCAGCTTCAAGTGGAAAGGTAACTGTTAAGAGAAATACTGAAATCTACAGCCTTGCTATACAATGTGTGGTCTCCTGATGGGTCAACATTGCTATCTCTGGAGAACTGCAGAATCTCTGTCTCTGCCCCAGATCTACTGAATGAGAATCTGCTTTTTTTTGTTGTTGTTTGTTTGTTTGTCTGTTTTTGCTTGTATGTTTGTTTGTTTAACAAGCTCGCTTGGTAATTCATTTGCAGTTAAAGTCTGAGAAGCACTGTTCTAGATAAAGATGTTAAGACCATAATGTCAGCTTTCTCTTACTTTTGTAATGTGTACCTATCAGTAAACATTACTGTGAGGTGTCCCACCTCACACGTCTGAAATCAAATCCAGTAAAAAATTTTTGGCCCTGTAAGTTGGATCCACACCTATATCAATTTAATAGTTAGTATCTGTTATTTTCATTGTGTTTTACCTGTTTGGGGCTTTTAAGCCTTTTTAAAAAACATTCCTTATGGAAAAAAATTGCTTAATACTGTCGCTTTCTTTTTCCTTTTCTTCCTCTTTTGAAAGCTGCCATTTCAGTCTGACTCCCTATAGTACTTGAACATTTTTAAATTATTTTTTTCTAGTGTCTGACCACTTTTCTAAAATGGAGGCTGGGTAGAATATTGAGGGTTTGTTCTGTGGGTTTGATTTTATCTTGATTCATTGCTACATTTCTATATTTGTGTGGGTCTCAATAAAATTATAAATTAGAAGATTAATGTTAAAATGTTACAAATTATAAATTAAGTTAACATTAAACTGCAAAATGTATGGGAAAGAATCCTTAAGGATCTGCAGAAGAACCTTCTAAATTAACAGAGAACTAGCCTTGTGCAGCAGTACCTTAGGATAGAGATAGGCAACCTGAGATTTCACAAATAGAACAGAGCAAGTTTATGATAAAATGGGTGGAAATGGAGCACGACATACTACGTGTATATTCTTATGTAGCAACTTTTAAAAATAACTCTTTTAATCATTTGTTCCCTCCAAAACTTAGGTACTCTCTCTAGTCACAGTTCCTAGGTACTGGGAAATTTATTGGCTTCAAATTATGAGAAGAAAACAACAGTATTAAAGTGATTTTCATTAAATATGTGCCAAATATGACATTTCTTCAACCATTTTGTCAACTAGGACATTATATCAACTTGTAACTTAAATCATCTTTATGACTTATCTATAAGCTACATTTGCTGTGTGTGCCTTCACTATGTTTGCTATGATTTGGGGAATCAAGAAAAATTCCTAAAGCTAGGAATCTTAGAACACTGGCCTTACATGGTTAATTACTTCTTTTCTTCTGTGGTTATTCCATGTCTATTTTTCTGTTTAGAAGTAGAAATTAGTCAAGCTTTTTAAAATAATTATTATTTGTAATAAAATATATCATAAAAGGGCAGTTTTTATTTGATTTTTGAGGTTATTTTTCTCTCTAGAAAATCAGTTATTGACCTTTTTGGGGGGTTAAAACTCATCTGAAAATCTCATGAAAGCTGAAGAACCTGTGCTTAGATACATGAAAATATGTAGAAAAATATACATTTTGGGCTGAAGATTAACCTTCAGTGTCAGTGCTATAATTTGCATATTTGTCCCCTCCTGAATTTAAGTTGAAACTTAATCTCCAATGTGGCAATCACTTTAAGATGTGCTTGATTCATGATGGCCCTGCCCTCATGATAGATTTATTTGTTCATGGATTAATGGAGTAATGGGTTAGCATGGGAGTGGGTCTGTGGCTTCAGAAAAAGAGTAGGAGACACCTGACCATGGTAGCATGCCTCCCTGAGGTGGCACAGGGCATCACATGGCAAGGAGGCTGAGTGTGCTAACATGGTTAGGTGTCTCTTTCTGTCACTTCTATAGAGAGTCTCCACCAGCAAGAAGGCCTTCACCAGATGCAGCTGCCTGACTTGGGACTTCTCCACCTCCATAACTGTAAGACATAAATTCCTTTTCTTTATAAACCCAGTTTCAGGTATTCTATTATAAGCAACAGAAAAGGGACTAAGGCAATCAATTAATTCAGTAAAGACTTTTTTGATGACAAAAACAAACTAGCAAAATTAACTAGTATGTTCACCACAGGAGTTTTAAGTGAGACAAAGGTAACTTTTTGGTTCTCATTGAACCCATGGCTGGGTCTAGGGTCTTGATCAGTCTGATCATACTTGGTTTCTTTCTGTTTCTCTGCCATGTCTTCTGCTGTGTTTGGTTTCATATTTCAGTCATTGACAGCTCCAGGCTGATATCCCATTATTCCAAACATAGCAGAATAAAGACTCTAATTTCAAAGTATCTCAAGTAAATCTCAGAACTGAGCTTGTGAATCTTGATTGCTTATATCTGGGTATTTTGTCCATTCCTGAACCAAGATTATTCCATCTCCAGCTGTGGTAGGTCATAGCCCAAGTCACAATCTTTCACTTTTAGAGTCAGTTTCACAGGAACCTCGGGAACTAACAGCAGGAAAAGGAAGGATTTCTAGATAAACATCAGTGCCCTCTTATCCATACAAGGGGGACGATGTTAAGGGGGAAAGACTATCAACATCCACTGCAGAAGCAGAAATGGTGTTAAGAGACAAAGACTATCAGCATCCACAACCATGAGCAACCACTGTTTTAGAGGTAAAGAAACTATATAATTAGCACAGGCCAACTCTTTTTTTATTTTTATAATGCCCAGACTACATGCATGTCTTAATCATTTCTTTTATATAAAATTTCTGTGCACCTAATGAGAAGGTATTTTTAGCTACACATCCATGACCCTTATCCTCATTGTTGCATTTCTCCTCTGAACCTTGTCATCACCTACCTTGCCCAAAAGGCACTGCTTGTTTTAGCCATTGAGCAAGGTGGGTAAGCATATTGAATTTGCTGTCATATCCTCCTTAAAGGTGCAGCAATGCAGGTCACATGGGATCAAAAAAATGAGGCTTATTCCTAATACTTTAGGCTATACTTGTGAAGCCTCATGGGAAGTTTTTCTTTAAACAAGTCTACAGCACTTATTTTAGGCTTAACTAATCTGATTAGTTGTTAACAGAAAAGGATATATTTAAAGTCCACGGATATGCAAACATTTAATCAGTGAGTATAGGTTTTATGTTCTGTCTTCATTTATCAGTGATGAGAGTGACCTTGGCTATGACCTCCCACAGCTAAGGATGGAATGCTTTTGGTTCAGGAATGGAGAAGATGCCAAGACCTGACCAATTAGGATGAACAAGCTCAATTCTGAGATTTTATTTGAAGTACATTGGAAGTGGAGTCTTTCTTCTGCTAGGGTTAATACTACTGGCATATTAGCCTGGAGCTGTCAGCCATAAGAGATAATATGTTCAACTATGTCATCATTCCAACACAGTGAGCAAGGACTGAGTGCTACTGAAAAATCTGGTAAACAGAAGGTTGTTTCACTTTGGCTATATTTTGCTGGATTTAAATTGAACGTTTCTGAAACTTCTGAATAATTCTGTCATAGAAAGATCCACGACAGGGAACATTTTATAAATAAACTACTCTTATATCAACAGAGATCAAGGCAAAGAAAAGAAACCACTCTAGGTATTTCACACAGGAAAGATTTAATACATGGGGATTGGGTACTTAGAAAATGGCCTGAAATGCTGGTGAATGATGAGGAATGTTGTAGCCATCACTGGACTTTTGAGTTCAAGAGCACACCCACTGTTGCTATAGCTGCTGTAATTTCCTCTAAAACCTGTATCTGTCAAATTGTGATTGCCAGGGGCAGTAGCAGCAGGAAGATGGCCACTGCCCTTTAAATATTTAAGTGCTTCTAACTGGTGAAACTCAGATGCATAGGAGTCTTGGAAATTTAATGTTTAACCTCCTGGCCTCCCTAACCAAGGAAGGGTGGGTTGGCAATATACAGACAATCCATAGTACATAATACAGTATTAAAAAAATGGGTTCCCCTGGGATTTTATTAATGAAGTTCCTTTTGTATTCAAGAGAAACTACCTGTCTATGACAGCTTAAAGTAATATTAAGCATCACTAAATGGTGAATTAAAGTTTTTTCTTTTTATTTATTTTAAAAGGTACAAACAGTAAAATTCATACTTTTTGATATATTAGATTTGACAAATTCATTGAATCATGTTATCACTGTCATAATAGGATACAGAACAGTGTCTTTACTCCAAAAAATTCTTGTCTGTTGTTTGTCTGTATTCCAGCTCTCTTCCCATCTATACCTCCTGGTAACCAAGGATATATTCTCCATCACTACTAGCTTTGCCTTTTCCAGAATGTCATGGAAAGGTAATCATACAATGTGTATTGAATGTGACATTAGTAGAATGCATTTGAGCCTCATCTATGTTGTTGCTTGTATAGGTAATCTATTTCTTTTTATTGCTGATCAGTATTCCATTGTGTGTATGTACCATTCATGACTTACATTTTGAAAGAATCACATATTTCCTTTTATTCAAACTCTCCATATATTTTTAAAAAATAACATGGATATTATGAACCCTACTTGCAACTTCAAACTCAGTGTTCTTTATTGATGATTAATAAGGTTATATAGTTTAATTATGATTCCTGGGTAGGATCAAGAAAATTAGACAAATCTCAAGAAATTTCCAGTCTAATATATAGATCAAGTATGCTACCTAGAATGTACCAAGTGCCCATTTATGCCACCTCAATGAGTTTTCCAAAAAAAAACAAATATTTTTTAGATGAATTATTTGTTGATTTCCATACTATCATGGAAAGATCAGTGAATACCACCCATATTTTCATTTGAAAAGATGGACTCATTTTTGGCCTTATTCACAGACAGCCTTTCTTCCAGACAAATTTCAGCATATTTTGATGACTCATTGTAGAAATTGGTTTATTATTTGCAGCAGGAGAAAGCATTGCTAGCCAACAGCTGAGAAAAAGAAAAGGTTACAACATTCTGTTTTAGGTCTCTAAAGGCCTTATTGGGCAGAATGTAATTTCCAGCTGTGGATTCATCCAGCCTTTGAGGACTTACCCCTGCCTGTTTTCTGAAGTGTTCTATGATTGTTCATTACCTCAAGTTGTCCATTTTACATCTTATTTGAAAGCAGGACCCTGACAGTGCTAAACTTTCTCAGGCTCAGCTGAACTGTCAGAGGTAAAGAAACCAAGAAGTTTGCTTGTATTTATTCTACCCCAGACATTCTGCATATTACATTCATTATCTCACAACTTTATCAGGTAGGTAGTAGTGTTACCAACATTTAACAGTTAAGGAAGCTGAAGTTGAAAGAAGTTAGTTACCATTCCCAGGATTTACATAGCTCATTCAAGAATTTTTGAACCCAGGACTCTCTGGTAACAAAGTTTATGCTTACAACCATTTTGCATTTAAGCTTTCTGTCATTTAGAAGACATTGACGTTGTCATTACTATTTTTTATACATGAATTATGTGCATCTATAATTAAGATGACAACTGCTTGTCCAGATTACTTATCCCTGTAAAAAAATGTTTCCGAACAATGTGAAGTGTGAGTAAATAATACATCCTGCATAAAATGTTTTGTGGATCAATGAGATGGCTTATTAGAAACACTTAGCTTCTTCCAAGAAGGGTTTCCAAAATAGCAAATGTAGTAGAATTCTTTATAACACTTGTACCTGGAGTCAGAAGTCACACGTAACATCAGACTAACTATATCAGTTGGGGCTTTTAGGGTTGTGCTTTTTGGATTTTAGAGGGATGTGATTTGACCTTTGATTAAGAAGGCATCATGGGGCTGGGTGTGGGGGCTCACACCTATAATCTGAGCACTTTGGAAGGCTGAGGAGGGAGGATTGTTGAGCCCAGGAGTTCAGGACCTCAGCCTGGGCAACACAGCAAGATCCTATGTCTACCAAAAAAAAAAAATTGGCTGGGCGTGGTGGCATGCACCTAATAGTCCCAGCTACTCGGGAGGCTGAGGTAGGAAGATCACTTGAGCCTGGGAAGTCAAGGTTACAGTGAACTATGAACATGCCATTGTACTCCAGCCTGGGCAACAGAATAAAACCCTGCCCACGCACCCCCCTCAAAAAAAAAAAGAGAGAAAGAAAATATCAAGGTACCATGGCTAAGAAGGTATAACAATTTCTTAATACAGAACTTTGTTGCTGTTGCAATGAGGTTCGCTGTATCACTTGAAAATAATTTGAAGAAATTAAATCAGATCAGGGCCTTGTACCTAAAACATTACATGTGCTTTAGTAGTCATAAAATATGTTACGTTAATGAGGATGCTGACTGGCAATCAGAAGTCTAAAATGGGGCATTACTGACACTTTACATGCTGTCATAGTTAATACCATAGCTGCAGGTCTCCAACCTAGACTATTGAGGGTCTGGGTCTCAACCCCTATCTCCTCTCCTCCCCTCATTCCTCCTCCACCCTGAATTACATGCAAGCCTGGACAATATTGCTTTAGCACTTTCTAAGTATATTTTATGTTGGCAAGTCATATATTTACTCAGTTCTTTTGTGCAAAGCAAGTAAGCTACCAGAGCTCTCCCCTTGGGGCCATTAATCAAATTGTTTTTGAGCTTTTCTGCTCCCCAGGGTGGGGACGTGTGACAAATTTCTTGGTGAGCATACCCTTAAAATGAAAAGATGTTCTTGGGTGATATCAGACAAGGTCAGTTTGTTCTTTGGTGTCATGAAAAGGCTCTCCCAGTTTGTTCACTGTTACTAGTGAACTTGACTTACCTTGTGAGCTTCTGGTTACAGGGATTTTTTTTTTTTTTTTCATTTCATTTTACCTACCTTGGTACCTAGCAGTGTTGGATATATAGAAGGTACTTTCTATATTTTGTTTTTGGAAAATACTTTAAAGTTACACAGGAGAAAATATATCCATGTAATTCAGAGGAGGCTGGATTCCCTTCAGGAATGGGGGCATTATTGGTTTTAATCCTCAGTATATACTTATTAGAAAATAAACAATGAGTTGAATGTTTGACGTAGGTCAAGTAGCATGCAGGAAGGATAATCATAGACCTGCTTTTGCAAAGCGTACAATCAAGGGTAAAAGACTTACAATGTGAGAATAGAATGATGTCACTACCACTTTTATCATTACTCTTGCCTAGTATGTATCGAGCAACAATGAAACGTCAGAACTTCTTCTAAGTCATTTCAATATTAACGCCTTTAATTCTCAAAACAACGCTCTTGAAGTAAGCACTGTGATTATTCCCATTTTACAAATGAGGAAACTGAAATACGGAGAGGTTAAGTACTTGCTGAAGATCACACAGTTATAAAAGGCATGCCTGCTATTTGAATTTTTGCAGTCTGACTCCAGAGCCCATACTTGTATGTACTGGTCAGATGGAAGAAGCAGGGGATCCCAAATGAGCCCCTCACCCAAAGCTGTGGGTTAGAGAAGGGTCCCAGAGTCAGTGACATCTGTGCTAAGTCATGGATGATGGGTAGGTATTTGCCAGGTGAAGGAGGAGGAAGAGGAAGGTGTTGAGTTATGTTCTGTTCGGATGATAATACAGACTGGTTATTATGGTTGCAGTGTGTGTGTGTGTGTGTGTGTGTGTGTGTGTGTGTGTGTGTGTCTGTTTGGAGCAGATGATACAGATGCTCGAGCCAGAGTATGTATGTCTTTGTTAAGCCATGTTATTACTAAATGTGGGTTTTTATCTTGTGTATTGTTGTGAGCCACTGAAGGGCTTTAATCAGGTAACATGATAAAACTTACATTTTTAGAAAAGTTAGTTGGGCTTCTGTGTAGACAATGAAAGAAAGAACAGGAGGAAGACTGCTGGCAGGATATTAACTAGGAAGCTTTGCAGCAGCCCAGGAAAGGACGGATTAATACAAAACTAGAGTCAGGGGAAGACGGGGCAGATGCCAGAGAGATCCAGGGAGTAGAATCCAGCAGGACTTCGTAACTGATTGGCTGGATAGGAGAGAAGAATTAGACAGAAGAGTCACATTTAGAGTATTTCAAAGAAAAAAAAATTGAATTCCACAGTTCTTGCTCCAGGCCAGTTTTTCATTGTTCTTACAGTTCATTTTTCTTTAGAAAGGAAAAGGCACATTAAATGTTAAAGAAACAGATGTACCTGATTTTTTATGGACTCCTGGTCCATTTGACTTTCCTTTCTAATGCTATAGTTTCTTGAGTTTACACTACTTGTGGTGGCGAATACTTTCAGTAAACTTTCTTGTATGTCATCTCTTAAAAATTGCAATACCAATCCCTTTAAGTTGCCGTAAAAAAGAGAGGGCAATGCAGGATGAGAGAAATTATGCTTGTCTTCAGTATCTTAATGGGCACCATACTCCTTAGATATTAAGACTGAATCTGACTTTTACCCCCCAAATTATCAGATTCTGACCCTATTTTATTTGCACATGTAAACACATGTTTGGGAACAGCAAAGTTATTTCCATCAGCCTTGGACAATGCATTTTTATAATGGCAAATTCTATTCTTAAATATCCCACATAGGGTTAAAGAGGAAAATATCTTCTGTCCTACGAAAACCATGCCTTGTGCTTTGCCTCTACTCTTTGTTTCTGAGCATCAGAAACTGTGTTTCTCTTGAGAATTTCCATCTGCTGATAGGTTTTCTCTATGGTTCTAGAGAGCAGATAAAGATACAAGTATCCCTTATTATATGACAGTCTTGCTTTTTCTGTACAGTACAGGTTTTCAAGTAGTAAAATTCCTACCTTGTTTAAAATGTTTAAAATCTATACTAATTATTTGGCCCCTTTCCTCTTTGTCCCTTTTCATTTTGTAATTGTCATTCAAGTGTAAGAAAAATATAACCATGCTTAAGATACTTGAAAAAATCTTTCCAATTCAGAACTCTTTGAATGTAATAGAGACTCTTTAGAATTTTACCATATAGAAGGAAATACTGTTTCAACCACCATATGAACAATGATTTATGATATTTCTTATTGTATTAGCCCGTTTTCATGCTGCTGATAAAAACATACCCGAGTCTGGGAAGAAAAGGAGGTTTAATTTGACTTACAGTTCCACATGGATGGGGAGGTCTCACAATCATGGCGGAGGGCACAAGGCACTTCTTACATGGAAGCAGCAAGAGAGAATGAGGAAGCAAAAGCATAAACCCCTGATAAACCCATCAGATCTCGCAAGACTTATTCAGTATCACAAGAATAGCATGGGAAAGACTGACTCCCATGATTCAGTTACCTCCCACTGGGTCCCTCCCACAACATGTGGGAATTCTGGGAAATACAATTCAAGTTGAGATTTGGGTGGGGACACAGCCAAACCATATCATTTATGAAACAGCATTACCTGGTGGGGAGGAAACAAGTGGCATATTATCAAATGGGACGCTATTATTGCACAAGGTCATGTGGCTGTTAAATGGTAGAGCCAGAACTCCAGCCTTGTTCTGTGCCATTCCTAGGCCCTGCTCTTTCTTACTTTCATACCACACATGTCATTCCTGCCTCTAGCTCACGGCCACAGTCTAATTTTTTGATAGGGAGCAATTCCAGAAATGAAGATTCAAATCCCAACTAATTCTGTTCTACTGAAAATATGGCCCATGGACCAGCAGCATTGAGATCACCAGGGAGCTGTTGATAGCTGCTTGTTTTTGGAGTGCTTATTTTGTCCAAGTGACGTGCCAACTCCATTACATGCATTATCTCATGACCTTCTCAAAAGATGTGCAATGATACAATCCTTCTTTTTCCACAGATGACAAAAGTAAGGATAGGAAACTTATTGACCATACTTGTCCAGTGCTGTACAAGGAAAGGTTGGAGGTGAATTTGGACCTAGCTGTTCTGATTTCAGAGCTTATACTTTTAACCATACACTGCAGTTTAGGATGCATGTGGAGCTGTTTCAGGGGAGAGCACAGTAGGGAGTGGGAAGGTGAGGAGGAAAGGAAACGGATGGCAAATGTGTCACCTAGGTAGGCTAGCTGCTGTAACAAAGAGGACCACAAACATGTAATGGCTTGAAAATATTTATCTTTGCTCATATAACAATACTGGGCAGGTGAAGGGGTTGATGCAACTGCCACATGTTTTCGTTTATTCAGGAATCCAGGCTGATGAGAGCTCTGTCATTTTTAGCACGTAGCTGCCAAATTCACCCTGGAGTCAATGTAGCTAGAAGGACGAAATCACCAAGAGGAAGGGATGTTCCTGGGAGGATATTTTATGGGCCATGCCCAGATGCGATACAGCTACTTCCAATCACATTTCATGGGCCAGGACTCAGGTGTGGGGGCCTGAGAAGAGGAGCCAGATGTGAGTCTCAGACGGGGAGGAATACCTGGATTTTACTGAGTTTTCAGGAAATAGTAGGTCATAAGCCGCTATTAGAATCAAGCCTCTGGGTACATTTTTATATGTTTTATTCTTTCAGGCTTTGTGAGAGGGGGTTATTTATTTCATTTGCAAAGCAGTGAATTGAGATCCAGGGATTTGTCCAAGGTCACATGGCTTGTTCTGTGCCATTCCTAGTCCCTGCTCTTTCTTCCCATCATACCACACATGTCATTTCTGCCTCTAGCTCACAGCCACAGTCTAGTCCTTTGATAAGAAGCAATTCCAGAAATGAAGATTCAAATCCCAGCTATTCTGTTCTACTCAAAATATGGCCCATGGACCAGCAGCACTGAGATCACCAGGGAGCTACTTAGAAACCTGCAGTTTCATACTTGGGAGGCTGAGGTGGGAGGATCGCTTGAACCCAGTTTCAGGCTGCAGTGAGTGATGATTGTAATCCTGCACTCCAGCCTGGGTGACAGAGCAAGATCTTGTCTCTAAAAGAAAAAGAAAAAGAAATAGAAATGTGCAATTTTTGTCCCTACCCCATAACTGCTGAATCAGACTGGTCATTTTAATGGGGCCCCCAGGTAATCTGGATGCACAGTAAAGTCTGGGAAGCCCTGGACCAGGTTCCTGGAAGCCAGCTTCTCCACCTACTGCCGCTATGTGACTGTCATCTTCCTTCCGTGTGGGAGAAGTGGATTCACTGCATGTTAGCTACAGGGTATAACCACTGGAGTAAAATTTCAGCCTTTTTGAAGAGTAAACATGTTTAACCTAGAAAGGACTACTTAGCAACATAATATTGAAAGACCGCTCAGCCCATTTTTTGAAAAGCATGAGCTGTTTCCATAGATAAGCCAAACAGGCCTGAACAAAACAGAGGAAAAGCGAACTTTGCTGTTTTGATTTGTGGATGATGATTTGATTTTCTAAAAAGAACAGCTTTGTTTCTTTCCCTGAGAACATAAGATTACTGAGTTCTTAGAGCCTCAGCTCATGCAGCTTTCCTGCTTGGGTATATGGGTAGGGCAAAGCCAGATTAAAGATGCACAGTATCAAGCCATCTGACCTCCAATGCCAGATTTCCTGCAGTAGTCTAATTACCAGTTTATTAGCTGTTAACCTTGCACCACAGTTACAAAACGGTAACTGCTGGTTAGAGTCTTAATAGTTGATAAGTGTCAGGGAGGGTCTTCCTTCTGGTGAGACCAGTATCCTTGTGAGTCTCATGATGATAATTTGCTTTAGAGCTCAGTCACTGGAAGGGAGGAGAGAAGGGACATAATGACCGAGGGTACCCAAGTACTGTGACAGAAGGCCATAGACAGCTTTCCTATCTAGGAGGAATTCAGCCTGAAGCCCACAGCTCAAGGGGCACACAGACCAGGCACTCCTGTTTTGAAACAATAAAATGAAACTGTTTTTTGCAAGTTTTGTTCACTTGATCATTTTGCCCTGTGTCTGTGATTTCCCTTAGAATAAACAAATTAGGAACAGTACCTCGGTTTTAGTATAAGACCAAGTGCAGCCACAACAACATTGCCTTAGAAGGTAACTTTATGCTATTTGTATTCAATTAAATCTCACAAGCCACCCAGAGTGAATGTTTTCATGTTGCTTTCTTAGAGATATGAACACAGAGAACAGAAGCTTGCTTAAGTTCAGAGCAAACAGAATTCCAGTTGCACGGACTCTCCCAGTTACAGCTGTGTGCTTATCAATACTTGGTGGATAGGGAAGAGGTGGCTTGTGAACTGCAAGACTTTAATACATGTCAGTAACCTTCTACTACAAATTGAAATGCTCTGTAAATCAGGAAAGGGTTTGCCATTTTTATGCTAGTGTATTTCACGACAGTCCAGTTGGAAAAGAGTTAGTATTGATGTTCTATTGGCAAGGTTTCCAGACCAGATTTGATTTATAAGAACAGCACTGCATATAAGAGTGTACATTGCTTAGATGGGACATCCAGGAACTGTGTTAATCTACATTTTCAGGTACTTCTACTCAAGAGAAGCACAGAAAATATCTTTACAAAGTTCCAAAATTAAATTTTAGAAAAAGGTTTGAACAAAAATGTTTGCTTATTAATTTATCCATGGTTACTCCAGCGAGCTCTCTCATGACAACTCATGGCATGCTTTACTAGATGCTGGGCCCTATGCATGGGTTTCATCTGATATTACCCTAAAAAGGACTCTTCACATAGATATCATAACCTTCAGTTTACAGTTTGAGGGAGCTGCATTGGATCTCACAACGAGCAGATATGAGCGCTGGACTTCCAGGGTCCTCGAAAGTAGCAATCACTGTGAGTACATGATGGCAGCCGACACATAGAATGGACGTGGTCCATACAGGCCATGACTAGGGCAGGTTGTCTCACTCACACAAGGCCTGTTCATTTATTCATTCATTTCTCTTCACTTGTTTAATAAGTACGCATTGAGAAGTTACCATGTGCCAGGAGAACACAAAAATGAAAGATTCACAGGTCCTGCCCTCATGGAGTTCCCCACTGAGTTTTTGTTTGTTTGTTTGTTTAAATACAAGCTTTACTGTATTTCCTTTCTTGGATGGTTACATCTAGGTAAGACAGATACGTTGTATGTTGGATGGCCTCAATTAAGCAAGATGCTAATAACTTTATGAAACTGTGGGAAAAATTTGGAGTATGTTATTTGGTTAAAGAATAGGAACATTTCTAAGGACAGATTACAAAGTTAAACCTAAAATTAAACAGTTTGCTTGCCAATGTATTCCTTTTGTGTATTCCTTTATCTGTGAGTTCATTGAATGCTTCCTATGTGCAAGGTATTATGCAGAGTGTAAAAGTTGAATTCAGTTTCTCATGCAGCTGAAACTTCTTTCAGACTTGGACATGAGCTTGAAATAATTAGAGTGCTAGATAGAAATGTTCATTGCCTTGGAGAGGTATGTATAAAGTACTTGGGATTTAAAGGAAGAGAGAATTAGAGAAAACGTGAAGGGGGGGAAATGACATTTGAGCCAGACATCAAAGGACAGACAGGATTGGAAGATGGGGAGATAGGTAGGAATAGAAGATTCATTTTAGCCAGAGAGAACAATAGGGAAAATAGAAGAGTGACTAGCAGGAAATTCAGCTCAAATTTGAGATATGAAAGATATTTTATAGGTATCAATAATTGACTTACTTCCAAAGAGTTCATCATCATTTTAATCTTCCTTGAAGATTATTTTTTAAATCCAAGTAAGATATTTTAAAAATTAGACCGTACATAAAAGTTGAAAAAGGAAAAAAATGCTGACCTTCACTCCAGTGAAACCACTGGCTAACGTTTGAGTATTTTCCTTCAAGTCTTTTGCATTTTGTTTCTGTGCCTCTTTTTGAGTAGTTGAAATAATGTATTGCATTCTGCCTTTTCATTTAAAATAATACTACCAGCACCTACCCACGTTATGAAAATCTCTTTGGAATCGTCACATTTAATGGCCTTATACTGTTTAGCCGTTTGGCTTTGTCATAGTTGACTTTACCCCACCCTATTGCTGGAGTTTAGGGTGTTTCATGTTTTCCATTGCTATGAACAGACTAGCTGTTGGCCAGCCAACCCTTTTTGTATTTCACAAATGGTAAAGCCAAGGCACTTGTAATAAGCCAAGATGGGGACTGACTTGTTCAGTTGCTAGAAGCCAAAAGACTGTTGCATAAAAAGCTGCCTTCTGACTAGAAGAGGGGCTGTGGGGTTTCTAGGAATAGAGATTAATAAGGTGCTTAGGTCATATCCCCTGAGAAGTTTAATCTGAGTGGGCCACTGACCTTCTGGCCTCTGGAAAGGAGATCCATTGAATTTCTAAGCCCTTTGGTACTCCTCCCATTTCCTGCGGAATTTTGATTGTGGGTAAAGTTTCAAAACACTGGCTCTTCACATTGGATTTCCAAGTTGGGAAGAGAAGGCAGGAAGACCTATCAAAGGACAAAGATATTGTGTTCTCCACTTCGATCTGAAAGATGGAATGGCAGGGGAGAAGGGAAGGGAAAAAAAGGAGGTGGGTGTCTCTGTCCTAATTTCACTGGGTTTCTCATCCCATTAGTTGAAGTTAGCAAACAGGAAAGCATTCTCCTTAGGAAGAAAAATGGCAAGAAAACTGATGCCTGCCTTGCTTGGATTTTTAGTGTTGCCAAACACCTATGTTTGTGACTTATTGATTTTGTACTATGAACCTAGCCTGCTTTGCATCAGCTCTTCTTGTCTTTGGTCGCGTCTTTTCTTTGTGAAATTTCACTCGGTGAGGAAATACTGAATTGGAGGGAGATACGGTCCTTACTGAGCATGCTGAAGTAAATCCAGCTATTAAATCCAGCATAAATCCCAGCAGAAAGTAGTGTATCAGAAATGTGGTTCTGTATGCCGAACATGTGTTCATAATAACAGTGCCTGGAGGCATATTTGTATTATAGTTCAGCAAAGGAAGGAGACAGGAAGGAGACTCTTAGCTTAGGGCAAAGAAACATCTGCTACAAAAAAAAAAAAAAAGAGGTATACCACATTTATGTAATAAATACTGTTTTGAAAGTTTCTCTGAAATTAGTTTCCCATATTAAATCATGCTTCAAACTTTCTTAGGAACTTCACTTTTTCAAAGAATCGTTCTATTAAATTTTTGAGAGAGAGCAGAATTTCTTAACAGTTAAGTATACTAACCCTGGGATGAGGCTACCTTATTCAAATATTGGCTTCACCATTTAGTATCTTTGTGACTTTGGAAAGTGATTTAATTGCTTGAGGGCTTAATTTCCCTATCTGCAAAACAGACACAATAATAGGACCATCACATAAAGTCTCTATACAGATTCAATGTGAAAGAACATTTTAGAATGCAGTATTAGAAGTAGTTTAATCACTTTAAAATGTTGCTATTAATAATCTGTTAATTAGCAAGTGATATTATGCATGTAAAATAAAATTTTGGAACAATATTTTTCTTACAATGAGCCAGGTCTGTAGGCTAGGCATATTAAAATATTTAAAATAAGTCATGGTATATTAGGTTAAAATGATGGAATGAAAACACTCCAAATCAGAGTTTCAAAGTAATTCAACTGAACTGTAAAGCAAAATAGGTATAACACAATTCTATGCTAAAATGTTTTAATCTTAGGTTTATCATATAACATTTTATTACCTAAAACTGCTAAAACATGTAGGTTTTATATTTAAAATGATAGTTTGTATTTAGTTTGAAATGTGGAGCTGAATGATTTTGCAAAATTAAATTGGGAATACGTTATATTTTAGGTACCCTGGAAAATTGTCTGTGGTTAGATGGCTGATACCTTTCCTTCTTATTTAGTTTAATTGAAAAAAAATTGGCATTGAAGAATTAAACACACTCTAAAATTTCAATAAATATTCCATGACTACTTTATTTATCTAGATATCAACTTACTAATAATATCAGCCATCCAAGTTAAACAAAAAGTAAAACATCCAGAAGTGAAAAATACAGCCAAATGTTGTACATGGCTAGTATACAGATCCTGCTATAAAATGCTATTATAAAATCCAGCTGCCCTCACTCAGAGCCTACTGATTCTTATATATCACATAATCTTTCCCTTGTTCCTTCCTCTGAAGACAGTAGGAGCTATAAACAGGAACAGTTTGGGAGAAAGCAAAGCCCGGCATCAAAAGAGATATAGAACAAAATGTAGACACACAACTTTGTTATCACAGGGCATGATGACCAAGGCATTCCTTTCCTCATTCAGTTATTCACTTCTTCATCAAAGATTCTCTAATCATCTGTGATAGTACCAGTCTGTCTTCTAGGTATAGGCTTTAGAAAAGTAGGTAGGAGAGATTCAGAGAAAAATAGGATATAAACATTTCTCTGTCAGGTTGCTCACAATAAGGTTGACGTATTTGTGTTCACAATAATTCATGTCATCCAGAAAAGTGATGTTACAGTTTTATGTACTTCAGAGTCACAGATGGTTTGCTTTAATTTTATTATACCCCCATACTCACACCCTGGACTGCTTTGCAAGTTTCTAATTGCTTCCTCTCCCTGCCTTTTTATTTTGGATTTCCTCTCTTCTTCCCTGTATCTCCTTAATACTCTTCAATAATATCATTTATATAACACAATCACAGTGCCCACTTACTCACTAGAGCCTCACAGAGATCTGTCATCCGATTCAGCCTATTTTAGCAGGTATATAGGTTAGCTTTTGTTGTGTAACAAACCACCCTCAAATTTTGCAGAATTTTTTAAATCATGTTTTATTTCTCACAGTTCTCTGTATTTGTTGAGTGGTTTTTCTGGCCATGGCTGGCTTGGCTCAGGTTGGATAACCTAGGATGGCCTCACTCACTTTATTTGGGGCCTCAGCCAGGAGGACTGGATTGACTGAGACTTCTATGTGGCCTCTCATCTTCCAGTAGATTGTCTTAACCTTTTAAACATGATAATCTCAGGGTTTCAAAGAGAACAAGAAGGAAACCCCAATGTACAAGTACTTTTCATGCCTCTGATTTGTTTCAAAGCAAGTCACATGTCTAAAACCCATTTTCAGTATCCATGTGGAACGAAAGTCTTCATATCTTGATGGGAGAAGCTGTGTAGTCATATTACAAAGGAGTGTGATCAAGGGAGGGGAAGACTTTCTGGTCATGGAAATGGTCTACCATGCCTGGAGAAGGAGTGGTAAATATATCCCCCCAGAAGGGACACACTTTATCTTCAGGCAGAAACCATTGGCCTGAACTAGTCATATACATGCTCCTCCTTCTACCCCTGCCCCCAGCTGAGGCTGCATGCAAAGGAGGATGACAAATAAATAAAGCCCTCTATGTATTACATTTGTCTCACATGACAAAGTTCTATTTCACTTATTTTCCCTTGACAAAATCCATTGAGGCCTTTCAGAGTTAGCCATATTCAAAGACACCATGAATTTCCACCTTCAACTCTTAGGTGTCTGAAGGCTGATCTTCTAATAGGTGGGGTTTGGGGGACGGTTTTATGAAGTACTTTAAAGTTTCAGAAGCAAGATGCTGTCTTGCTGCTGATCATTTATAGTCTCGAACATTACATGTTGCATTTCACATAAGAATTCTTATCCTTTATGGCCTAGCTCAGAAGCTTTCTCCAGGAGGCCTTTCTACCCTTTTCTCTCCTGGGCAGGGGTTATCTCTCCTGGTTCTAAATTCCTGTAAAATATTATTTTGCTTATGTTGAATAGTCTACCTACTCTGCTGGATTTGAGTTTGTTAGGATAGAGTCTGTGTCTTATCCACTATTGAATTCTGTGTAGTATCTAGTCTAGCAGGGACACAGTGAAATAATAAATCATCCCTTGATAAAGAAGGAGGAGGCTATATTTAACCCTAATGCCCTACTTTATTCCCTTTCTATTATATTTTTTAATGTTCCATTTAATTGTTTTCTATCCCTGAGTCACCAACACTTAAGGCCACTGTCATGTATGGATTCCTCTGTTAATTCCTTCATTGAGAAAAGTCAGAAGAGGGACACATTCATTCATTCTATACAGGTCTATATTGAGCACCCACTACGTGGCCCATATATTTGTGTGACAGAGACACAGCAGAAAACAAAATATATGTAGTCACTACTCTGGTAGAGGAAAACACAAACAAGATATATAAAGGATCAGAGATGAAGTTGTTGATGTGTGTTACGTAGAAAAATCTAGGAGGTAACAAGAAAGAGAGATCCTGGTGGTGGTGAGATGCCATTTTGTTCTGAGTGGCCAGGAAAAGCATCTTAGATATGGTGACATTTATACTATGATCTGCAGGCAGTGAGCCATGCCGATATTTAGGGAAGAATGGTCTAAACTGAGGTAATGGTAAATGCAAAGGCCCTGAGGCAGAATTGCAAGTGGCCTCTATGAGGTACAGGAGGAAGTCCATGTGGTTAGAGTCAAGTGAGCATGGGAAAGGAATAGGAGATGAATGGAGAGAGATATAAGGCTAGATTATGTAAGGTCTTACAGCGTGTTGTATAGATTGGCTTGTATCCCAAGGGAGATGAGGAGCCTTATGAAGAAAGGGTAAAGAACCAAAGGTATGGAGAATTACATGGGTTTGAAGAAAGAGTTGGGGGAGAGGGAAATGTATGATCTTTTTCGTCCCTGTCCTCCAACATTAAGTGGATTTCTCACCTTGGTCCCCCCTGTGAAAAATCTACTTCCAAGATTGGCTCTGTGTTTGCTAATCATCAGTATCTATGACATGTATAGAAATACCTTCTTCCACAGGAAATAGATAAATAGATCAGAGATAAATAGACTATATAGTGTTTGCTGGTAATTCTTGCCATTTTACCAGATATAATCGTTTAAAAAAACATGTCCCATATTTATGTAGTGCTTTATTATAATTTAGGTTCTCAAAAAGATTAGTTTTTAAACCAGGTCTAGAGCTCTGCTTAAGTTGTTTCAACAAAACCCAACTCATTATATGTTATAAATGAAAAAGCAGTTATTTAAATTGCAATGGCCTTGATGTCACAGGACTATAAATGAGAGGATGCCCAGGGGAGGGGAGAACATTCACTTTCAGCATGATAAAACATCCTGCATGAAGATATGTTATTTTTACAAACTCATTTTCTGCAAAGAAAACCATCAAAAAACAAGGAACTTTCTGTGTAAGTGTGCTAGGAATGTTTTTTTTTTTTAAATTTGTTACAAAAGTAACATATTATAATAAATGTAAACAATTTAGAAATTTTTAGCATTTTAAAAATGTAATTATAGTCAGTTTATAATGGCATTATTTTAACCAGGGCAAACCAGCCTTGTTATGAACACATTTGTTTATTTTCAAGATAATTTGATTAGAGCCAACTTATTGGTTTCATGTGACTAATACTGGGCTGTGGTGTGCATTGTTTAGTCAAAGAAAAAATTAAATTATCATTTTTACTTTCTGTGGCCTTTAGTAAATAAAGGCTGATTTACTAAATAAAGCCTGACTTACTAAGTTCTTTTTAGCATAGTATAGTTCTCCTCATAGTAGAATTCATAGGAAATCTTGGCCCTCTTTTATGATAAATTGATATGCTTGGGTACAAGCCTATTTATTACTGCAATATAGACCTGCTTTCTGAGGTTCTTCTTTCTCAGGAAAGTAAATAAACATTACAGAGGATATTTGCTACTCTGTGTGACCCAGTAAAGAGTTCTCCTGGAGAAAACTTTGCAAATAACATGATCAACAATTGCATGCTTTGGGGCCATAAACAAAATAAGCAAAAAAGTTGTTTTAGATCCTAGAAAAGCTTGATGGAGCATTCTACTGTCTGGTAAACAAGACCAGAGTAAATATGGCTCCAGGTAGCAAGTGAACAGCCAGACCAGGGTCAAGGCCAGCATTCGCTTGCAGGGGTTAGAATGCTGTACAGCAGTGAAAATAGTGTCCATGTCTATTGTGAAATAGAACAATGCCATAAATGCGTAGACATCATCTTTTCTATCTTGGGAGCCTCCTGCAAAGTGACATTATAGGCATGTCTGTTTTCAGATGGGGAAACTCCTTGAAATATAGTTTGTGGGATTCTCTTTCAGCTTCACAGTAATTGGTTGAAGCAGGTCTTAAAATTGGTTCTTTTCACATGGAGTGCACTTTACCATTAAAAGGAATCCATGTGTCTCATGAAAATGTGAGTTATCTTGTGTAAGTATGTGTGTTGGTGGGTATTTGAAATTAGCCTGGAGTTTAGGAGTTTTAGGGGTTTTTCCATCTACTTTTAAATTCTTGGACATAGATGCCTACAATTAGGTAGTTTATCAATAATCAAATAGGCTAAAATATAATGAACACATTTGGGATATATCTCCACCCATAAACCTTCATACTTCTTTGTAAAAGTTTTGCTGAAGAAGTATGTGTTTATCATATGAGGAGGTGGTTATGGGTATAGTGGAAGAGACAGATTTAGGTTTGGAAGGTAATAATTAGGGAAGGTTCTCTGGCTTCTGGTTTTACTTCAATGTTTACATCTATTTCTTCAGGCCTAAAGCCTTTTGTCCCATTGTCAAGAATAGTTCAGGACCAGTGTTTTATTCCATGAGGCCAAGAGAGAAAATGCCAGTTGTGTGGCCAATCACTTAAGCTTAAGAATGTGACATAGTACTCTGCAGAGAACTAAGAATGTATCTTGAGGTACTACATCTAGGTTCAAATATAACCACAACATACAGTGGGATTCACAGTTATTTTAAGACCACGCCAGTGAGGTCATTCTGAGTCATGACCTCATGGATAGAGGATTCTAATCAACTGCTGAAGTCTACAGAGAACTAATGAACGAAAGAGTCCTGAGATCTGGTAGGGGAATTTTGAAGCGCCATCAGTATCTTTGTATAGACTTTCCATCCCCTAGGATCTGTATGGTCAAATAACCAGAAAGGCTTCCATGGTCACCTTCCTGGACACCTGGCTGTGAGCCAAACAACTTCTTCAATCTCTTGCCAGGTCTCTAGTCTGTGAGTCAAAGAATACCATATTTATGAGTGATGTTTTGAGATAGTGGGTGCTCTGTGAATTTCAGGTAGTGTTTTTTTGTTTGTTTGTTTTTTCCTCACCAGGGAGCATCATAATTTTTCAGCATGTTTGTTAACAATGTACATTTTATTTTAAAAAAAATCATGACAATAAATTCATACATTGCCAAATAACAGGTGTCTGCTATCTGATTCTGTCAGATAAACTTTATACCTTTTCTGGAATATATGAGTTAGAAAACTTCAGGTATCAGACTCAGCTGCCTCAAGTACTGACATACCAGGCATTTCTCTGTTTAATCATCACTCAACTCATGGATGAAAGTATTAGGAAACAGAAGGGATTATGAAGATAACTAAAGTTATTACTGGCACTTGAACTGAATTTCTCTTAAAATATCAGTTTACTTTGATATGTGCTACAAAGACCTTAACCATGTTTCTGTCTGATTCTTTTGTGAAATGAAGGTATCAATACAGAATGAACTGTTTTGATAAGCTCCCTCACAATTTTAAAGTATAGAGTTAATCTCTAAGAACTAATAAGCAATGATTCCATTTTCTTGATTTTATTTTTATGAGCCACAGTTTTATATCCCACTGCTTATCTGATTTGAAAATGGTTGTAATATTTTGAGAAAGTTAATATCGAGTCATGCCAAAACCTTAATAAACTTAGTCTTGAACTAATATTTCAGGCTCATGAGGGATTTCTGTATGCTAAGATAGATTTTAATATTACAGAAATGCAATAGTGACCTTTCCATAAAACCTTAATAAAATTACTTTGTTCTATAAACTGCAGAAGAGATGGGAACTTTCTTGAAAGAGAATATGCATGATTTATCTGCATTTCATGGCTTAATCTTATATCTCATTTCTTCAGATCTCTTATGTTTTTCTTTTCCTTAAGGCAAACAACAGTAATTTCCATATTTTTAAACTAGAGAACAGACAGAATTTTTCAAAGGCATGTTTTCCTTTTGCACCAGTGAGATTGGGTTTTGGACTGGCAGTTCAAGGATGTGGTTCTATTGCAGCTCCACCAGCAGGATTGTGGCACCTTGCCAAGCTCACCTGAGGTTTCTTGGCCTATGTTCCCACTCTATTACAGGAAGAGCTCAGATTAAGTCTGAAATCCCTAGGATTATCTTTTATCGACTGTTGCTTAAATGTTATAACTTTCATATTCTTCAACATTCTTGTATTTTGTTGATATGGTTCTTAAAATTGTGGCACAGAAATGTACAAAATACTGTAAGCAATGTTAGGATCTGAAAGTTCACTAATTTTATTATAGCCCTTTATCAGTGACCTCCCTAAGACTGCGTTAAGGTTTCAACAAGTACCTCTTCACCATTAGCTTATTAAGGTTGGAGTTCACCAAAAGTTCAGATGTTTTTCACATAAAAAGGCCTTTTTCCTTTGTCCTGTAGTTGCTTTTTTTTTTTTTTAACTTCTACGATCTTTGCATTGCTCACTTTTACATCAATCTTGATAATTTGTCTTATTCTTCAAAGCAGTCCTTTTGTAGCAGTGAGCCCATCTCAGGACATATTTGGACATCTGGAATACTGGAGGGAGCACTGGTGGAGATGTCTTAGGAGGCTGCTGAAAACGAGGGAGTGGAGTTTTGGAAGGGTGAGGAGAAGAGTGATACCATAGGATTGCCCTGGGAGGGAGAATACTGAGAGCCAAAAAGGATAAAGGACAGAGGAGGTGGAGGGATGGCCACATGTGGAAAGAGGATCAGGCTGAAGGTAGGAGTTACATTCTGGAAAGGTTAAGAAAGATCAGGATCAACATAAGAACATTGAGCTTAAAGACCAAAAGTTTCAGCTACTCAAAAAGGCATATTTTGAACAGAACATATATGCTAGATTCCATATTTTAAGACATTTACAGTGAGTTGACAGTTAGGAAATGAGGGTATCCAGCAAAGTCTTTTTTCCTTTTTTCACAAAAATTGGCCATGGGAAGGTATAACATAGATGGCCAAAATATACCTTAATTATAAGTCTTCTTCTCTGTACAACTTCAGGGCACAATAATTAATTTAGTGACAGTAGATATTTTATCCCCAAAACTCAATTTAACTTATTATCCATGCAATTGTCATACTTGAATCTTATCTCTTTTCCTGTCTTACCTTGGGGGTTGGTTTCAAATATGGCAGAATAGAAATAAAAATATATATACAATGGCTTAATCACACTTGTGATTTCACCAGTATTAAATATAGGCAGCAACATTGATTTTATTAAAATACTCCCTATAAATATTCCCCAAATAGCATTGTAGACCAATTAATGTCATGGCCTAAGTGGCTAGATTGTGATGTTTTTATAAAACTAAGTTTTCTCTATCATATTTGGAACACTCTACAAACAAAGCCAGGATTTAAAGACACAGTGATCTATTTAAAGTGAATAATGATTTTATAAGGGAATAAAAAAATAAAAGAAACTTGAAATTATTCGGGTTTTTTTTGGATAATATAAAATATTTACTGATGTTGATGCTGAGGTTACCAGGATCTCTGTCCTCAGGTCATTTCAAAGTGGAAAATTGGAAACTGATAGTAATGTGGACATCTCCTTTATTGAAGCAATCCTTATTTTTTATTAAACTACCTCTTATTAAAGCAGCTTAAATACAGTCCCAGGAAAGGATGAGTTTCCCTCATTTTGGTTGGAGGCCATATCTTTAGAGTGTTTTTTTACTTGAAATTAAGGAACTTTCGTCATGAGAACCAAGGTCAGACAATGAGGGTGTTCGGTCAAAAGGTTTGTTAAGTTCTATTAATAGTTCTACCATATTTGAGGGATTCTAAGCTTTCTGAGCTTTACTTTCCACATTTTTCCAGTTGTGTTAAGATTTCTAACTTCAAGAGAGTATATAACTTCAAAAGAGTATGTAAAAATACTTGGTAAATGGTGAAACAGTAAGTGGATGCTGGGTGCCTTTATTGTGAGAGCTTTGAGAAGTGTGTCAGGTCAGGGGTAAATAGCCCCTGCTTTTAGAGCAGAGTGGTGACTTTCATTTCTCATTACTGCAGAAGGTCCAGCATCTCTTGCCTAATGAGAATGTCATCCTCCTGGTCTCCAGGTCAGGCCGTTGAGTTCTCTCTGATGTGTCTTTGAAACTTGCTGGCAGTCTTGTAGCATTTTAGAATATGCTGGATCAAACTTTATCCTTTCAGAAAAAAAAAACCAAAAAAAAAAAACTAATTGATTGCAGACACAAGGACCAAAGCAATTTTTGTAACTGTTCATTAGTACCGACACTTGGGAAAACCAAGGATTTGTCTAACAAGGGGCAGGGAACTTAGTTAAAGAAGCTCCATTTTCTCTCTCTTTTTCCCCAGCCTGCGGATATGGTTTGAATTAGAAGTTAAAGAAATTTGCTAAAATGAAACACCATGTGAACTCTTTGGAATCGCTTCACATCCAACTCTCTGACCTTTGATATCCTTTCTATTGCCTCTGGGCCTTGTTAGAGTGAGGGATGTTTTTCAGTTTCTATATAAGCAATGGAAGCAAACATGTTTTAAAATAATGCAATAAAAGCACCCATCTTATGAAAGGGACAATTATTTGAAGACTGTTGACCTTACAAGAATTGGACAAGGATTTGGCATCTTGAAAGTGTGCTTTGATACTGAAGAGTTGTTCTAGAAATGCCACTATGTCATTACTCTGTCAGTTACTCTTCAAGACACAATAGTAATGCATTGTTTTAAATCTTGCTTGGCCCATCTGAATGTGGCTTTCATTTTTTCATTTTTGGAAATGTATTTCAGGAAGGATATATATGGTTATTAAATAACATTTATATTTCATAGGAGCTCAAATAATGTTTAATCAAATGTTTATTAATGTAAACTAAGAAGGCATCACAGAGATAAAACTAATATAAGCTAAGAAAACATCAGATAAATTACAGTTTCAGGATCTGTATTTTACAGACAAGGATACTAAGACTCAGAGGGTTAAGGGGCTTCCTCAAGGTCACACACCTAGTTGGGACAGAGCTGGGGCTGGAATGTAGGTCTTCCATCTCCGATTGCCCTTCTCTTTCCATTCCAGCATGCTATATAGCTCATATTAATTTAATATTAATTGTGGAAATAGTGTAATATATAATCAAAGGCAGACTCATTTTTAAAAATGGTTAATTTACTTATAAAACTATAAACTTTGTATTTTTCTGATTCACTTTTCCAATGTCACATTAGATTTATTTCAAGTTGTGTGAATGTTATTGCTGGTATTTCTGATGTGAATGAAATAGACTCAATTCCACTCTCCCTGCTGGTCTATCAGAAAAAGCCAAAGACAGCATCTAATATTTACACCTAGTTTTAATGTGCAGCCTCACTTACATAAACCAATTTGCACAGTAAATTTCCCATTATTTTAAGTAATAGTTAATTAGTAATGCCAAACCTGAGGAGGAGGGGCCTGAAAAGGTGACACTTTTAATATAAGTTAACTGAGATTAAGGATTTTATTTCCTTTTCCTTTCAGACTGGATGTATTTTTGTGCATAAAAAAGACAAAGAGGAAGAAAGGTTTAGAGATTTTGAAAATAATGTGCATGTATAAAAAAATTAAATCAACCTCCCCAAACCTCGAATTCCATGTGATTTTTTTCTCACTATCTCTATTTTATTAGTTCCATCTCTGTACTTACTTTAAGCTTTTGGACTTCAGGTGGAACAATTTTGGGCGCATAAGGAGATAAATGACCTTGTGTGAGATTTGAGATTTATGTAGGTGACATTTTTTTGACTAAAGGTTACTTTCAGATCATGGGGCAGTACCCCTGTGTGGATGAACATATGAAGACTGTTGATTTCGGATATCCTTAAGCTTGAAAACTTGAGGAAGAATGTTTTATTTTCTCCTTCTATGGTCTGAGCTCAGTTCTAATATGCATGGTCTTAGGCTTTATCCTCTTCTTATGACTCCTGTATAATAATAGCAAAGATCTATTTATAAAAGTAGCTTGGAGAATTTTTAAATACAAGGAATTTTGATTAAATTGAAGAGCTCGTTGTGTGTGTATGTTTATTTTAATGAGAAAATAGTTTTAAAATAAAGAATGCCTCCAGTCCTTGAATTTATGCCTGCTCCTTTCCAAAGCACTTTGCCCATTTTTGTGAAGTCTCATTTTACAATCCTCAGGCTTACTCCATACTCACGCCGGAGGCAACCTTCAGAGAGCTTATTCAAGTGAAGATAAAATAAAAATCTTTCCTTTGAAATAGTCCAATAATAAGGCAAAATCAGGCTTCTAAAAAGAGATTTCCCTCTTGACATATATGATTCATGTTGGCGATGTTTTGCCTGATAATTGTGGCAGGCAGTCCAAGGGCAAATGAAGGGCAAAGTACAGAGGGCTGGGCATAAGAGACAGGAGGACCTTATGGGCTGCCCAGAGGTCTCCTCTAAAGAGACAGTCTCTAGGGATAAGAACATCACGCACCTCATGAGGACATGTCCAGGATCAAGCCCCACCAGTGAGGACCTAGGTGCCAATCTGAACAGCCCTTACTAAGGGACAGTGATCAGAGAGGGTCTAAGGAGAACAGAGGTTCAGGCCATAGAGGTGGTGTGGTTGGAATGTTTATTCTAGAAATTATTCATAGGCACAATCGAGGCTGTCAAACTTGGTAAAGAATGGAAACTCATTCTACAGGCCTGGTTTTAGCCTGCAGCAGGCAGGCAGCAGGGTATGAGTGGAGAACAAAACACTGTGAACAGCATTTCAGGATACTGGAGAGAGGAGCAGGTATACACAGAAATGGTACTAAAGTGTGCATTTGGGCTGGGCACAGTGGCTCACACCTGTAATCTCAGCACTTTGGAAGGCAAAGGCAGGTGGATCACCTGAGGTCAGGAGTTTGAGACTAGCCTGGCCAACATGGCGAAACCCTGTCTCTACTAAAAACTCAAAAATTATCCGAGTGTGGTGGTACACACGTGTAATCCCAGCAGCTCAGGAGGCTGAGGCAGGAGAATCGCTTGAACCCAGGAAGCAGAGGTTGCAGTGAGGCCAGATCGTGCCACTGCACTCCACCCTGGGTGACAGAGTGAGATTCAAGAAAGAAAGAAAGAAAGAAAAAGAGAGAGAGACACCCAGAGAGAGACAGAGACAGAGACACAGACAGAAGTAAGGAAAGAATGGAATGGAATGGAATGGAAAGGAAAGGAAAGGGGAAAGGGAAAGAAGAATGAAGGAAGGAAGGATGGAAGGAAGGAAGGAAGGGAAGAAAGAAAGGGAAGGAAAGGGAAGGAAAGGGAAGGGAAGGAAGGGAAAGAAAGAAGTCACTGCGCTCCAGCCTGGGTGACAGAGACAGACTGTCAGAAAGAGAGGAAGAGAGGAATGAAGGAAGGAAGGAAGGAAAGGGAAGGAAAGGGAAGGAAAGGAAAGGGAAGGGAAGGGAAGGGAAGAAGTCACTGCACTCCAGCCTGGGTGACAGAGAGAGACTCTGTCAGAAAGAGAGAAAGAGGACGAGAGGAAGGAAGGAAGGAAGGAAGGAAAGAAAGAAGGAAGGATTAAGTGTGTGTTTGTGTAAGAGAAGAGTCCATTGTCCTTTCTGCCTTGATTTGTTTTGGGGGTTGGTTGGGAGCTCCTCCACAGAGTAAAATATTCATTCATTCATTCATTCATTCATTCATTGTTTACTGCTATATGCTGGACACTATAGTAGCAAGCAAGGCCCCAGCCTTCACAGAGGTCATCATGTAGTGATGATACAGATAAACAAATAGCTGTTTACCAGGTAGGGTGGTGAGTTCTTCAAAGGGGGAAGCACAAGGTGCTTAAATGAAAATACAGAGTGGTGCCTGGCCCAGTTTCTTTAAATAATAACCAGTAAGTTTAGGGGAGTAAATAACCAGTAAGTAAATAACCAGTAAGTTAGTGAATGAGAAGAAAAGAGAAATGTGCAAAATGCTCAGTACCGGGGGGCAAGGAATCAATTCTGATAAATACAGAGAGGAGAATGTAAAAGGAAAGGTGGTGAGGGAAGATGCTGCTTTCCAGTGCAGCTGAGGGCACGTTTCTTCTAGAATCCTTGTGTTTTAACATAATCTTTCTCCTCAGCTCATTTGTCAATTGCAGTTCCTTAAATTTAAAGGAATTTGCTGGTTGACTCTTACCCAATATTTTTTCCTGAGTTCTTAGGAGAAATATTAGCATTCATAGCTTGTAGTTAACAGGGAGCATAAAGGTTTGGGCCAAAAGAGGTAACTGCTTGAAGTTATTTAAGTGACTGTGAAGTCTGCACTGCAGATTAAAGGGATGTTGTGTTGGCTGAGGGTTTGGTTATGACTCAGTCACCCTTTATTTACTTTCTTCAAGTTGCCTGTCATTCTTAACTGGTTTCTTCTTACTTAACTCTTAAGGATGAAGCTTGAAAAAAAATGGTTGAGAAAATTACCATTTACTTCAGGCTCTCAGTATCTACTCTTGGTCTTGGATGGAAAGCAAGTACTGGCCTTCAGAGTCTCCATAGGCTTGGTTGTCCATGGACTTCCTGAGAAAAGCGTGCATTCTAGACAAATGGACTGTCTTTCTTACCCAAGCTTTAGTTCCGAATACCTAGCCAGCTTCTTTTCCTGGTAAATTGGGCTGGGCTGGATAAGGATTTAAAGACCATTTTCCTCTTCCCCCTTTTTTCCTTTTTGCTGGAGACTTGATCTAAGGCTGTTTTCTCAAACCTTAGCTTACATTGCAATCACCTGGCTAGCTGGATACACCGTGGATTCCTGGACCCCACCAGCAGACTTTCTGATTTAGGTCTGGATGGGGGTTGAGATTTTGCATTTCTAAGAAGTCCCAGGTGATGTCTGCTGTCGGGGTACCATACTTTAAGAACCAATAATCTAAGGCAAATCCAGGGACCTAAAGATTCTCTAGTCTTTCCCCTATGCTCCCAGCTTGAGTTCCCATCTTGGCTAAAAAGAAATAACTCAAAGAGTATTCCTGCAAAGAAGAAACT
The DNA here is from genome assembly GCF_000001405.40 of Homo sapiens. Classification (NCBI taxonomy): domain Eukaryota; kingdom Metazoa; phylum Chordata; class Mammalia; order Primates; family Hominidae; genus Homo; species Homo sapiens. The sequence continues at coordinate 9,294,978 of NC_000020.11, forward strand.
TAAGCTGAGGAAGAGGTCAACCTAAGCCTCCATTCTCATAGTCCCCACTCTGGAACCCCAGGACTTTTTAAAGACTAGGGTCCTCTGTGACCAGGAAGCCCTGGGTTAAGAACCCCTTGAAAGATCCAGGAGAGACCAGTATGGAATCTGTGACCTCTACCTAAAACTATACTTAATTTGTGCATGTTTCCCTTTTGTTTTCTATGTTCCAAGACCTTCTCAGAACTACTACTGTTAGATCAAAAAGGGCTGAACTCTCCCTGAAAATTGTTGCATATGGCTAGCACCTCCTACTAAGGGAGAAGTTGTTGCTTTCCTGCGCGGTAAAGTATAGACATCCACCATGTATTCTGTTAGTTCTGTACTTGAAAACAGTGACAAGTTCTACTTTTGAGAGAGGGAAAAAACTGCTACTATACAGTCTTTCATTTACAAATATCCCAGGGTGCTCTAATCCTCTTATTTCTCAGAACTTTTATATTCTTTAGGGCTGATGATAACTCTGTTTATGTTAAATTCTCAGTAGTAATAAAATACCCTCTGCTCTTTGCTGCCCTTAGTAAGAACAGAAATACTTTATTTCAGAGGCATAAAAGATAAGAAACAAGATGACTTTTGTATAAGGTGTAAGGAAGGGATCCAGTTTCAGCTTTCTACATATGGCTAGCCAGTTTTCCCAGCACCATTTATTAAATAGGGAATCCTTTCCCCATTTCTTGTTTTTGTCAGGTTTGTCAAGGATCAGATGGTTGTAGATATGCGGCATTATTTCTGAGGGCTCTGTTCTGTTCTGTTGGTCTACATCTCTGTTTTGGTACCAGTACCATGCTGTTTTGGTTACTGTAGCCTTGTAGTACAGTTTGAACTCAGGTAGCGTGATGCCTCCAGCTTTGTTCTTTTGGCTTAGACCTAAAACCATAAAAACTGTAGAAGAAAACCTAGGCAGTACCATTCAGGACATAGGCATGGGCAAGGACTTCATGTCTAAAACACCAAAAGCAATGGCAACAAAAGCCAAAATTGACAAATGGGATCTAATTAAACTAAAGAGCTTCTGCACAGCAAAAGAAACTAGCATCAAAGTGAACAGGCAACCTACAGAATGGGAGAAAATTTTTGCAATCTGCTCATCTGACAAAGAGCTAATATCCAGAATCTACAACGAACTCAAACAAATCTATAAGAAAAAAACAAACAGCCCCATCAAAAAGTGGGCGAAGGATGTGAACAGACACTTCTCAAAAGACGACATTTATGCAGCCAAAAAACACATGAAAAAATGCTCATCATCCCTGGCCATCAGAGAAATGCAAATCAAAACCACAATTGAGATACCATCTCACACCAGTTAGAATGGCGACCATTAAAAAGTCAGGAAACAACAGGTGCTGGAGAGGATGTGGAGAAATAGGAACACTTTTACACTGTTGTGGGACTGTAAACTAGTTCAACCATTGTGGAAGTCAGTGTGGCGATTCCTCAGGGATCTAGAACTAGAAATACCATTTGACACAGCAATCCCATTACTGGGTATATACCCAAAGGATTATAAATCATGCTGCTATAAAGACACATGCACACGTATGTTTATTGTGGCACTATTCACAATAGCAAAGACTTGGAACCAACCCAAATGTCCAACAATGATAGACTGGATTAAGAAAATGTGGCACATATACACCATGGAATACTATGCAGCCATAAAAAAGGATGAGTTCATGTCCTTTGTAGGGACATGGATGAAGCTGGAAACCATCATTTTCAACAAACTATTGCAAGGACAAAAAACCAAACACCGCATGTTCTCACTTATAGGTGGGAATTGAACAATGAGAACACATGGACACAGGAAGGGGAACATCACACACAGGGGCCTGTTGTGGGGTTGGGGGAGGGGGAAGGGATAGCATTAGGAGATATACCTAATGTTAAATGACAAGTTGATGGGTGCAGCACACCAACATGGCACATGTATACATATGTAACTAACCTGCACGTTGTGCACATGTACCCTAAAACTTAAAGTATAATAATAACAAAAAAGAAACAAGATGACTTTTACTCTGGAGCATATTTATAATATGTCAAAAACAAATTCTACTAAAATAGATTTATTATTCATGAAAGAGAAAAACCCAGTTAGATTATATATTCCTTTCCTCAGGCTTCTATAGCCCGCACCCCCCCCCACACCATATATATATTTTTTTGCTAAAGGTTGATATATCTTGCATGCTATCAAAAAAATTTCTTTCTAGCGGTCACTTCTGTAATTCACTACTATAAAAATGATTAATATGTGTGTACACGTGTTCTCACTCATAAGTGGGAGCCAAGCTATGAAGATGCAAAGGGATAGGAATAATATGGTGGACTCTGGGGACTCAGGGGAAAGGGTCAGAGTGGGGTGAGGGATAAAAGATTACACATTGGGTACAATGTATACTGCTTGGGTGATGGGTGCACAAAATCTCAGTAATCACCACTAAATAACTTATTCAGGTAACCAAACACCACCTGTTCTCCAGAAACCTATTGAAATTTAAAAAAGATTAATATACAAACTATCTTCTGTTTCTGAAAGATCAAAATACTGTTAAGCCAGGGGTGGATTTACTAAGCACTTAAGAACATGACCCCTCAGAGGACATCACGTGTAGATAGGCCCCACTTCTGCCACTGAGCCCTCCTGTACCATTATTGCTCCCTAGCTTGAACCATTCTAAAGTTGAATGACAAGGGATTATCAGGCTGGAAAACCTCAGTCATGGACAACTATGTACTTTTAATACGATTTCAGCTCCTTGATGTGTTCTAGAGGATTTTGGAGGGCTGGCATAGGAACTCAGATGTCATTTCCAAGGGAATTGCTACAGGCAAACAACCAACATCCAAACAATCTTTTGAAACAGCTCAGTTATTCTCTTAGGAAGTTGTTATACTTCGTTGTATTCTAATTTCTTTGAAACTGATTATTGCAGATTGAATTAAATTGCCAGGGCTCAGAACACAATACCTGAAAACATGGCACCTTGACATACTGAGTATTTTGAGATAAAGGAAATTGAGAAAACTGCAGAAGCTGGAAGGTCAATCTCTGACCTTCTTTCCTGAGACACCTTCATGTGACAGGTGTCCCACTTTATGCCTGGAGGGAAGGAATGATAACACAAAGATACCAAGAAGAATGTGAAGAGACCTTTCTCAGTTCCCCCCAGTTCAAGACCATTATATCGTACCCACTTTTGTCTAATCATGCTTCTATATGACTATCCATTCTTTATCAAAACTAAACATAGAAATATACGATTATCTCAATTTCTGTCTTTGTTTCTGAAGGCTCCTGTGTCACATAAAACTTACATTAAATAAATTTGTATGTCTCTCTTGTTAACCTGTCTTTTGTTATAGAGGGTCTCAGACATGAACTTTGTGATGGATGAGGAAAGATATTACTTTTTCTTCCCTAGAATATATTGACAGTTATTCATTATATTTAAATTAAGCTGGATCTCTAAATACTCCAGGCAACTAAGCATATTTTAGACATGTTTTGTAAAATCCTGATAGATTGAAACCTATAACACGATCACAAATGTCATCTAATACATTTATAAACCTGGATCTTCACCCCAGGTAACTAAACATATTTTAGACATGTTTTTTAAAATCTTGATGTAATGGAACCAATAGCATGATCACAAATATCACCTAATAAATTTATAAAGGCAGTACACTTTAATATTTTTATTCATCTATTTGTAATTATTAAATTTTAAGGAAGTTACACTTGCCCCTCAATTATGATTAATATTGAGGTACGAGAGGCAGGGACAAATAGCGAATGCTTGCTTTCTGTTTTTATTTTATTCCTGTGCAATTTGTGTTCTTTTAATACACTCCAGGAAATTGTTTTTAATCATGTGATGCTTTATAATAGATAAATCATAGCAAAGGCCATAGATTTCTTGTAGCCCAGAATTCATTAAAGTCTAATTCCAGTACCATCACAATCAGTTTTTTCCCAAATATAAGTATTGCAGAGGTTTCAGTTAACGTTCATTTTAGTCAGTATATTAAGTAACTCCTTACTAAGTAATGAATAAGGATCAGTCATAACTGGGATGTGTGAAGGCTCCCATTGTACAGGGAAGGTTTTAAATTCTGAAAGGGGAGAACAACGTTTTACAGCTTTATGTATTTATCTCTTCCTGTTATTTGTTCTTGCCAGGATTTCTGCTAGAAAACATAGACATTATTTTAAGACTAATTTATATGAAAAGAAACAAGTTTTAAAATTGTATCCTCCATTTGCTTTAGAAAATATTTTTTCTGGAATATAAAAATTACAGTCACTATGAATATTTTAAAATACAGGGAAGTATTAAAGAAAAGAAAATTCTAAAATTACATCAGCTAGCTGTAACTACTATTTGTTTTGGTATATGTCTTGCTAGTTTTTCCCGTTGTAAAACAGTGTACATATGTAAGCAATATGTGTATAATATATAACATAAAAATTTGGATCAGACTCGTGTAATTTTATAGCCTGTGGTTATTTTTTTTCTTAACTGTATGTTAAGAGCATTTGTCTTTGCTTCACAAGAGTTGTGAATATTTTTAGAAACTCTTCTAAATTTGCTATTGTTAAGCAAATAACTATTCCTTTAAAGTACTATTTTTAATGGGTACAGTATTTAAGTACTAGAGTGTGTTTAATCAATTGCTTAGTGATGATTATATAAGGCCAATATTTTTCTACCATAAACAGCACAACAGTATTCTTGTGCATAGATTTTGTACACATTTACATAGGATAAATCCTACTTGTACAATTACTAGATAAAAGAGTATGGATATTTCAAGGCTATAGAAATGTATTACAAAATTCTTTTTTACCAGATATGCCCTCACCCCATCCATCAACAGCATTGCATATTATCATATTTTTCTTCCTGTACTCTTTGTATGTTTTTTGAAAAGGTTATTTAATGGCTTAATAAAAATGGAGGTATTTTTGCAAATGGGGAAGTTATCCCTAATGATACAATATATTAATGTCAAATTAGATTCTTACTGGAGGTAAAGCCATTTATTTAAAAGCCCTGGATGATCTGATGACAGCTTGTTGATATGTTTTTAGAAATATAAGGATATCTTATTTAAAGATTGAAGAGCAAGGCACTGAAATATGTGTGATAGATTCAACTGATTTACTTGTGGTCAGTGGAAATTTTATCCCAACTCTCTATGTTCTGGAAAACAACTTTGGTTGTGCCATCATGAGGTCACTTAAGGTCATGGGTTATTTGGTTTAATGGGATTTGTATGGTTGGATGGGGAAGGGATTAATTTGTTATGGAAATTTTTTTGTCATAAGGTTGAAGTTAAAAGTTGCACTTAATAAAATTTATAACTGAGTCATGGTGCATTTATTCACTTGAAAGCTATATGTTATCAAGTAGAAGCAAATGCTTTTTCAGATGAATTCATTTTTTCACAAATAGGAATAAAAAATGAAGAACACCTTGTTTGGCTTCGGGGGAGCTGCAGGATTTGAAGTTTGTATTTATTGCTGAGATGCAAAATTGTTACAAGACATTTGGAACCTGGGGAAGAGTATGCAGAAATAATGTCATTAGTCCTCAAAGGGGCTTTGGAACAGAAGGACAGGAATGATCTGAATTCATTTCTAGGTGAAGTTTATTCTGTACTTTTCTCTCTGTCTTCCTCTGATGATTCAGTTGAACACACATGTTGAATGACCATTCCCTTCAAATCAGAGCAGTCTGTACTGCATTCCAAACTTATTTGGCAACTTTTTAGTTCTTTTAAGAAAGGTGTTCAGCTTCAGGGGGCCCAATATATGCATTTTCTGGGCTACTATAAAAAATTAGCACAAACTAGTGGCTGAAAGTAACCAAAATTTATTCTGTCACAGTTCTCGAGGCCAGACGTCTGACATCAAGGTATTTTCAGGGCCACATTTCCTCCAGGCTGTGGGGAAGAACCCATTCCTGGCCTATTTCACCTTCTGGTGGCTGCCAACTCTTCTTGAACTGTGGCTACATCACTCTAATCTCTGCCTCCGTAGTCGCATTTCCTCCTCCTCTTCTGCTTGTGTCAAAACTTCCCCTGCTCCCCTTTTGTAAGGACATTTAGGGCCCACCTGGATGATCCAGAATAATCTCCCCATCTCAAGATCTTTCGCTTAATCTCATCTGCTAAGTCCCTTTTTGCCCTGTAAGGTAACATTCGCGAGTTGCAGCAGTTAGGAGGTGGGTATCTTTTGGGGGCCATTTATTCAGCCTGCCATACCCAGGTACCTTAGATATGCCTGGTTTCACATACTGCCCTCTGTTCACTCTCTACCAGAACGTGAGGCACATGTCCAGAGACAAAAAATTCCTTGTGAAAGTATTGACCTAAACTGGTCTAGGTTGGGGGTGGTGGTGAGGGAGGGTGAGCAGCACTGACTCTAAAGTTGATCCAGCACATCTGAGATAGGTGGTCTGGTAATTCCTGAAGACCACCTTATAGGTCTAGCAAGGAAGACAAGACAGCAGGTTTAAAGACTCAGGACAGAGTAGGCCAAGAAAACCAAATCTCTTCCTTGGTTCACCCCAACCGAATGGATAGAAGGCCATATTTATGGGTAATGCACATGTCCTACTTGAATATTTGGCCCCTCGACAGCCCACCTCAGCCCCCTTGTGTTCCTCCTAACTCTGCCAGTTTCTTATTATCATCTTTAGGAGGAGCTTTTGCCACTTGCTCTGGAACAAGACCTTCTAGGACTCCCCTTCTTTCTTGTCCCCCGCTTCCAAAGTTTCTTGCAGTCCAGGGAGTTTTTCCTCTGCCCTAGTGCAATAGCTAATCCGATCCAGTTGCACAAGGATTTAGAACAATGCGACTATTTAAAAGCCTTCTGGCCTCCTTCCAGTAACTGCTCAATGTGTTTACACTGCAAGAGGTTTCAGGCTGTCTATTCTTTGACAATGTAAAGTCTCTTCCACTTCCCGTGTTCCTCAAAGAGAAGGTGGATCCTTTCCTGTGGGCTCTGCATGGTGAGATGATGCCATTCTAGGAGGTGGAGGAGACAATTAAACCTTGAAATATCTTGTAAGTGAGGCCTTGGAAGGCAAGCTAGAGAATTTGAGAAGAGGAACTTTTGGCATGGTACAATCAAAGCCTTTTTTTTTTTCAAGCCAGTTAGTTGGCTGTGGGTTGGGATTTGAGATAATTGCAATAAGAATGTAGTTATAGGGTGGCCAGTTCCTCCCCTCTTTTAAAAAGAAGTAACTGTCCCTTTAACATTCTCTGCAGTCACTGGGACTATAATGTGTACCTTCGTTTGTTCCCATTTTAAATCAATTATCTGGATCAAACTGTAGTGAAACAGGATTGGCTGGGTCAACATTTTCTAGTCTGTAGGTCATCATTGTACCATGTGTGTAAAATAACCCAGCTAGTGCCCCTGATGCCAGGCCCTAGGAAGTTTTCCACAGATAGCACAAAGAACAGCCTCGACCACAGCCACCAGTTTCAAATTGGGAACACTCAGGATACTCCAACATCATTTTGCCAGAATACTTCTTACCTTGTTCTGAACCCCAATGCTATGAAGGAATAAGCAATGAAATGAACTTTCACCTCCACTGCAGAAGAGATTAAGGTCAAAATTACCCTCCTCCTTCACCTCCAAAGTTCTTCATATAGTGAGACTATTGTGATGAAATTAGTACCCAAGGTAGAGATGAATATTTTAGTAGTTAAGAATAGTAGTGAGGTCTGAGAAACATCATATACTGGGTACTCATGTTGATTCTAGGAGAACCAGAGTTAAACCAATGGAAGATATGCAAACTGTAAAAAGCTTTTTTTTTTTATTTTTATTTTTGATATAAACTTTTTGTATCCAAAGCCTCTTACTGATTTAAAATGAAACCAAAGGGATGAATTAAAAGGGATGGTTGTCAGGAGTGAGACAATCATAGAACACATAAAATTCTGCAGAAAAGAGATGTTTTGCCCACCATTCTTCACAGCCTGGCAAACTGGGATGGCCACCATGTTGTTTTTTAATCTATTTTTCAAGCTAACACTTAGCTCCCTGTAGTTGGTTATTAAGGGGGGTCTGTGGGTCTATTTTTCTCTGCAGATCTGTTTTATAGCATAGAAGGCATGAATGCACATCATCTACCTCAGAAGCTTGTTTCTAAGCTTCTTGGGTAGAAGCTATGTGGTTATGTGTGTACATACATGCTATATTCACCAAGCTATGCAAAAGGTTTCAAAGTCAAACTTATTTCTTCTGTGTAACTGATAGAAGGCTTTGTATACTTCGATTATCAACTCCACATTCCCCCTACCCTCAGCCTTTGGTAACCACTGTTCTGCTCTCTGCTTTTATGAGTTCAACTGTTATAGATTCCACATGTAAGTGAGCACATGGATATTTGTCTTTCTGTATTTGGCTTATTTCACTTAGCATAATGTTCTCCAGTTCCATCCATGTTGTCACAAATGACAGAATTTCTTCCCTTTTTTAAGGCTGAATAATATTTCACTGTGTATAATACACCACATTTTCTCTATGCATTCATTTGTTGTGGGATACTTGGGTTGATTCCATAACTTGGATATTGTGAATAGTGCTGCATTGAACATGGGAGTGCAGATATCTCTTTGACCTACTGATTTCAGATCTTTCCAGTAAATACCCAGAAGTGGGATTGCTGGATCATTTAGTTCCTCAAAAAACTAAAATTCCATTTTTAGTTTTTTGAGGCACCTCCATACTGTTTTTGACAATGGCTGTAGTAATTTAAGCCAAATGTATTTTAACTTTGAAAGATATATACTTTTTATTTAGCTTTTAAAATATTCTGATTAAAGTTATATACAATATTCTCTTAGAATATTCACATTCTCATTCTTTAATTATATCCCACTTTTCATTGTAAATGTTGTGAGTTTGTGCTGCAGCCACCTCCTCCTCCTCATCCTCCCTTCTGCCCCCACCTAAATCTCCCTCTCTCTGTGTCTCTCACTCTTGCTCTAAGTACTTGCCAAATATATATCCAATTCAGAAAACAATTAACTTTTGCTTTTACTGATCATTGTTTTACTATTTTTTTTTTTTTGGCTACATATTACATATCTAGGTTTTGGTTTGTAATGCTCTCATCTTTTCTTTCTAAAAAGTTTATAATTTCTGCTTAACTCAAGAATGATTAAGGGGTGTATGTATGTGTGTGTGGGGGGGTGTGAATGTTTAATTTCCATGTATATAGATGTTGTACACTCTCTGTCATTAATTTATATGTTTCCTTGTTGTTGTCAATGAGCATGACCACAATATTTTCTGCCTTTTGAAAAATGCTGAAATTTCCTCTAGGGCCTAATCGTGATCGGATTTTGAGATTGTCACATGTGTGTGGGTAGCCAGGGTGCAAAGAGGGAAAGAAAAAAAAATGTATTTAGAGAGAGAATAAATATATTAAGAGAGAGAATAAATATCATTAAGTACTGTTATTTAAATTGTGTTACTTTGAGTTATTTAAGTTGTTGTACTAAATTATTAAGTATGATATTCAGATCTTCGAGATTCTTACTTGTCTTCTTATTCTGTTATTCTGAGAATCATTGTCTCCTGTTTGTGACTTTGCTAATTTCTCCGTGTACTTTGTCAATTTTCAAATGTTGTGATGCTGCGTGCTCACATGCTTAGATATTAATGGCAGTTAATGTGATGTATTATTACTCTGCCTCTGCTTTTTCTCTTGAAGTCTGTTTGTCTCATGTTGTTGTTACACCTGTTTTCTTTTTTTCTTAGCACGTGCCTATGGTATCTTTTTTCATTCCTGCGTTTTCTTTTTTATTTTCTTTTTTTTTTAATTTTAGTTCTATCTTTTTTTTAATTATACTTTAAGTTTTAGGGTACATGTGCACAACGAGCAGGTTAGTTACATATGTATACATGTGCCATGTTGGTGTGCTGCACCCAGTAACTCGTCATTTAACATTAGGTATCTCTCCAAATGCTATCCCGCCCCCCTCCCCCCAACATCCCTGCATTTTCAAACTTCTTAGATAGTTTTCAAAATATTTCTGTAAACAACCATAATTTTACCTAATCCGAAAACATCTTTTATAAGTGAATTTAACCAATTCGTATTTACTATGCTTAGTGATGTGTCATTTTATTTTGTGTTTCCTACTTATAATATGTTCCTGTCTTCTCTCCATTCTTTATCTGGTTACTTTTTAAAAGAGGCTCGAGTTTCTTTTGCTATTTCTCCCCTGCTAATCATTTGGGAGTTATGTTTTTTTAATTTTAATTTTCTATAGGAGAACTCTTAAATTCATAGCACCCATATTTAAACTTCTATTTTCCTACTGATGTCTAGAGTTTTTAGTATCTCTGTTCCCTTCCCAAAATGGTTTTACTTCCCTTTGTCTCATACTTTGTTCCTCCAACCACTTCACTGGCCACAACTCATATATTGATATAATCTAGGATTTGGGTTGGCTAATTTTTAAATATATTTTTTCTTTTCTACTTTTTTGGCATAGTACAATAAAACTTAAGATTAAGCCTATTGTTTCTTTTTACTTTATTTTTCTTAACATTATTTCCCATCTCTCTCTTATTTCTCTATTTATTTTCCCCTGACAGAGTATATAATACATTAAATTTTTCAGAGTAGATTACTAAATCTTTCTGATTACTTACAAGTCTGTAAATAACTACATTTTTCTCCTAAAAGTTGAAACAGTATTGAACACAGAATTTTAAATCCAAATTTATTTTCCACAGAACTTCAAAATTGTCTTACTGCATTTAGTGTTGTGGATGATGTACCTGATATCAGTCTCATCGTCATTTACCTCTAGCTTATCTTTTCTCTTCCTGCATCTTTGAGAGATTTCATCATTTCTGCATATTTTGTGTCTTCAGTGTCACCATGAGGTATATTTGGGGGTGTATATCTTTTTCCCCCATTTATACTACGTGGAATCAGTGGATTTTTTCACTTTGAGGACTCAAATATTCAGGTTTCAGAAACGTTCTTCTACTGTTACTTTATTTCCATCCCTCCATTGTCTCCATATAAGGTTGGTAAACCTTTCCTTTCTATTTTCTATATCTCTAACTTTTTCACCCAGGCTGGAGTGCAGTGATGCAATCTTTGTTCACTGCAATCCCCGTCTCCTGGGTTCAAGCAATTCTCCCTGCCTTAGCCTCCCGAGTAGCTGGGATTACAGGTGCCTGCCATCACATCCAGCTAATTTTTGTATTTTTTAGTAGAGATGGGGTTTCGCCATGTTGGCCAGGCTGGTCTTGAACTCCTGACCTCAGGTGATCCACCCCCTCCCCCCACCCCGGCCTCTCAAAATGCTGGGATTACAGGCGTGAGCCACTGAGCCCGGCGTGGTGTTGCATTTTTAAGAATCCCTTGGCTCAACACTTCATCTGAGTTTTCTTTACAATTCAGCTCATCTATTAAGTTTTATTTCAACAATCTTGTTTTAAATTTCTAGTATCTGTGGTTAATTATATTTTAGGAACAGAATATACTCTCTCTTCCCTCTGAAAAAATCAGTATGCTGAAGTCAGGTCCTGTTTTTCCTGCTCACCCTCTTTCCTTGGGTGTAAGTTTTACTTGATGTGTTTGGTGTTCTTCCATGTTCTTTGCATTGCTTAACTATTTGGTGACTCATTGTTGTATGCTCCCCTGTCATGCAAGATGTTTGGGTTGTAGTTATTGCATACATACCATGGTGCATGTTGCCAACAAGGATGGGTAAAAGGAACGCTGAGTTCTTCCTAGTTGCAGGGAGCCACTCTGAACAGTGCCTAGCCTCTCTTTAAATGTCCTACTCACTGTCTATAATAAAACTGTTGCAGGACTTTTCCTTAGTTCAGCTAAAAACAGGGTTCTTTGTCCCACAGCCATGAAAATTCAAGCTCACAGGCAATTTAAATGGCGAGTAAGACAGGGTTTCATTGGGTAAAAAGGAAGAAAATGGGGCAACAGGGACTCTTGCAAGCCCAGAATCCCTGCTAGAGGGCTTCATTCTAGGCCACTGGAATCCCAAGTTCCACACAGAAGGAGGAGGGGCCAGACTCCTCTCTGCTACAAACATTGTGAACACCCCGAGGCCCCACCTCAGTGGGCAGGCTGGTTGGAGTTTCTCCAGGGACCCCCTATGAGCTGGCTGTCTCAAAATCAGAAGTTCTCTTGTTCCCCACGTGGCCCAAGGGGTGAGGAACAAAGGGGTAGGGGAAAGGGAGCCTAAGAGAGGGCTAAAGAGAGGACCAAGAGCTATAAAAAATTCTGGCTATTCCTACGTGATTCTGCAACTTATACCCTGTGGGCTCCTCCTGCCCATATGTTCACCTTCAAGCCCATAGTGCCCTTAGCTATTTACAGCAGGCCTCTCTTATGTATTGATTTTGGTCTACGGTTTCCTTATTTTATCTGGTGCCTTCAGATTTTAAAAAAAGAATACACACACACACACACACACACACACACACACACACACACACACACACACACATCTTGTTATTTTGTAGGATTTGGAGAGGGAATGGAAACTTCCCAAATGATCACCTCTGGTATTTCTTGATTATGATATCTCCAGGTTTAGAGAAAAGAAAGCAAGTTGGGGGTCAGACAAAGGGAAGAAGAAAAAAACGTATTCCACATATTTAAAGTAAATCTTCTGCAAACACAGAAATGCGAAGTGATTAACCATCCTCAATTGTTTTTTCATTTTATATACTAACGAGCTATTCTTTTTCATTTTTAGGTCTTGAATATAATCATGGCCAAACCTTATGAATTTAACTGGCAGAAGGAAGTTCCCTCCTTTTTGCAAGAAGGAGCAGTTTTTGACAGATACGAGGAGGTAAAGAAGTGTTATTAATCTTTTCTCTCAAAACATTCTAATAATTATTAAATTTTAATTACAGTATTGAGTAAATATTCTTTGACATAAGTAAGAACATCTTTAGGATTTATAGGTTGGAGTTGTTGAAAAGAGGCAAGTTATGAGCTAGAGTAATAATGATAATGATACTATAAATTTTTGAGCGCTCACTATGTGCCAGATGACCTTCTAAACATTTTATGTGTATTATTTGTTTAATTTTTTACAACAACCTTACAAGGTTGTTGCTATTAATATTCTCAGTTTACAGATGGGTTTTATATAGTAACAGTTTTTGCTTAATGCAGTGCTTTTGGCAGTCATTCTACATTTAACTTTGTATGTGTTATAAATGTAATAGTGATTGAACTTTGTGCCAGTCATTGCTTTGCTCATTTCATTGATATAAACCATTTTGACCAAAGCTTTGCATGCCTCTGATTCTATCATTTATTGTCTGTGCCCTTGCAAGGTGGTGATGACTCCAGACTTTCTATAGAGCAGGGGCTTTGGGCCACCAATCTGTTCAGAATGGCTGGGTAGGTGAATTAAAGCCTCATTTGCATTGTAAATGCATGATTTTTCTTCTGTTGTACTTGAATTTGAGGTGACTTGGGAAGGAGTGTATAATGAAATTGATGTTTCCTTTACCAAGAAGTTGAAAGTAAAACATATTAAAACTTCATTTAGAGTCAGAGTTGGTTCCTTTCAAAATCAATGAAATGTATGAAGTGGCTAATTCGCTGATCTTCCCAGAGATCCAGATTGTCAGATGCAGAAACTAGGTCTTCTGTGAGCTGACATAGCTTAATACTTGTTGACTTGATATTTCTGCAGGGT